>NC_000013.11:78560946-78713787 GCF_000001405.40 Homo sapiens | reverse complement strand
GAGAAAGAAAACATTTCTTCCTCAATTAAGAAGGCTTTTAAGCCCTTTTTTGCCTGAATTTCACTAATGCTTCATTTCGATAAATCAATCATGTTGCTCTACTATTGTATTAAAATGTACTTTAATAACAAATGTTTGAAATCAGAAGTGACATTTTTTCTAAGATGCATATCTAATAAAGTAACGCATTTTCATCCTGTGCGAAACAGCTGGACCATGACGAGATCACATTAGCACTAATTAAAATGATATTTTTTGTGCAATTTTTGCTAACCCAGCTTCATTGGACTCAAAAGGATTTTTGAAATCCATAATAAAGGCTATTATGTAATCTTACCATGATTCTTTTGAATCAGGCTACTGTCTAATTTCTCTGTAACAATATTTTCTTAAAACTCTCACTCTATAAAATCAGTATTAAGTTTTTACTCGTAAAGCTCTTTTTTCAATATATGATCCTCATTTAATTAAAAAAAATTAAAGCTTTAATTTATTTTGCTTGATGAACAAGAAAAATATAATATTAAAGACAACATTTTGCAATGTTTCTCTTTTTCCTCACTTTACTGGGTCCCTGTTGTTCCCAACGTATAATTTGCAAAACATATTGCTTCAATACTTACAATGGGAGAGGCGGCCCAGCTGTGGGAGGGAGAGGACAACAGCCTCCAATATTACCATAATAATCTGCCTAGAGTCCCATGAGCCCTCTGGTATATACAATTCTCTGTACTGCAGGCCCCAGCTGGAGAACATTCTCTTGACATGTATGCCAACCTTTGCCTGAAGGCAAAATAAAAAAAAGGCAGAGAAGTAATCATGAAAATAAAAAATCTTGTCAACGGCATTAGAATGCAGTTCCCATGTTTTTGCTCACGTAGGCAGGCATTGTGCTAACAAAATGATATGAGACTTTAAAAGACTGCAGCTGGTATGTATTTAGAGTTTAAAAAGAAAGCCATGTGCTATGTTAATTCTGCAATCCTAAAATTCGGAGAAGGGGGGTCTGTGGGCAGTGATAGTTTAGTTATTACTGTCAATATATATGAAAACTTTATTTACTATTACTTGGAAGATTGCACGTTATAGAGATTGAACAAGAAGAAGTAGCATTATAGTATTGAGGTTAATCATGGATAAAAATTTCAAACAAATAATATTTATATTTTTGGTCAAATGAATGTGAGAGGAACTCGAGCAGTAGCTGATTGTAATACACTTAATTTTTTTTTTTTTTTTTTTTGAGACAGGGTCTCACTTTTTTGCCCAGGCTGGAGTACAGTGGCGCAATCATAGCTCACTGCAGCAATCATAGCTCACTGCAGCCTTTGACTCCTAAACTCAATTGATCTTCCCACCTCAGCCTCCCAAAATACACTTTTAAAATAATCTTTCAAAACTAATATTATATCAGACCCTAAAAACTCAATCTTTAGTTGAAAATGTTATGTTCACCTTTAAAATAATAAAACATTGAAGATACTTTTTGAACAAAGTATGTGTGTTTTGAAACCAAAAGTTCAGGTTTGGTTGCAGTTTACTTAAAAAACCAATAAAACTCAATGGGCTTAGAATATTCAAAATTAATATTTAAAAATCTGATATTCTTGTTACAACACTAAACGTTCCCAAATTTTATTTGTTGAAATAAGAGACTGCTCTGAAAACAATTCAGAATATATTTAGAGTCACACACATTCTAAGCACTTTAATCTGGGTAGCATCCCACTGAATAATTATTCTGAACGGGTAAGAATATGCTATTATATATGTAGGATATAAACTTTTTTGTCAAATTAATTTTCCCAGATACTAGACAGACTGAAAGAGGCAGCATAACGTTATATCATTCTTAAACATTGTCAAGAAATGCCAAATTTTACTGTCTTTTTACAAATCTGGTAATGATAAATCTCTCTACTTGGCAAATTAAGAGACAGATTTAGACAATTTAGAGTTCACAGTGCAAAGGCAAGTCATTCATAGTTGATTACTTGTGGGGACAGGATACAGAAATAGGGTTCGTAATTACATATTTATGAGACTAATTAATCTCAATCTCTCCCACCAAATGTACATGAGGGCAGGATTATTTTATTTTTACTTTATTTAGAAAACTGTACCCATTTTATACTAAGAGCATTACACACACTAGGTATTCATTGAAAGAATGGGTGTATGCATTTAATTATTCATTCATTCATTCATTCATTCACTAAGCAAATATTTACTGAGGCAGTGGGGATACAGCAATGAGTAAAGCTTGTGTTCACAACACAGAAGACAGATAAAAGATAAAAGAAAAATAAGTACAATATGTACTGTGTTAGATGATGATAAATACTAAAAGAAACGTTCATCAGGGAAAGGGGACAGAGAGTGTATATGGACAGGCGACTGAAATTTTAGAAAGAGTGGCCAACACGCCTGTAATCCCAGCACTTTGGGAGGCTGAGGCAGGTGGATCGCCTGAGGTTAGGAGTTTGATACCAGCCTGGCCAACGTAGCAAAACCCCGTCTCTACTAAAAATACAAAAAATTAGCTGGACGTTGTGGTGAGTGCCTGTAATCCCAGCTACTTGGGAGGCTGAGGCAGGAGAATTGATTGAACCTGGGAGGCAGAGTTTGCAGTGAGCCGAGATTGCGTCATTGCATTCCACTCCGGCCTGAGCAACAAGAGCAAAATTCCATCTCAAAAAAAAAAAAAAAAAAAGAGTGGCCAAGAGGCCTCCCTACAATGAAAGTGTGAAATGGACTCAGTTCTTTCCACTGCGTAAAATTGAATAGGTTCCCAGTAAGAATCCAATAAAAAAAAGCAAAACAACATCTCAAAATACTTTCCCTTTCATCACTGATGTAAATAGCTGTATATCCCATGAAATTATAAGCCTCTCTTAAAGAGACTGCAATCTTTTTTGGATATTATGTCCGGCACTTGGCACAGTATCTTACATATAGTAGATGCTCTACCTATTATGCCAAATTGACTTGGCTTTATATTGGAATAAAACGACAAGAGTAAGAAAATCTTCTCTGCCCCCAAGGAGTGGTAAAATTACCAAGGATGGAGAAGAACCACCCAGCACACTGCATGTCCAGAGATGAGAGATACAGTGATGTTGGGCATACACCATCTTGCAACATTTGGATTGATATTGCTAAAGTTCCCAGATCACTACACTCAGCTGCCCAGCCCAAAGATGACTGCCCACTTTTGGTCCCAAGTGAAAAGAAGGCAAGTTTATGTAGAGAACTGTGCATATGTACCATTACAAATAGGGAAATTAATCAAAGCCCTTACCTTACTAACAGAGACTTAAATTAGGATCATGCTTATCCAAGAAGGAAAGCACACATATGCCATTCTGATGAAAGTGGTCTTGGGCCGGGTGTGGTGGCTCACGCCTGTAATCCCAGCACTTTGGGAGGTCAAGGCGGGTCGATCACGAGGTCAGGAGATCGAGACCATGGTGAAACCCCGTCTCTACTAAAAATACAAAAAATTAGCCGGGCGCCTGTAGTCCCAGCTACTCGGGAGGCTGAGGCAGGAGAATGGCGTGAACCCGGGAGGCAGAGCTTGCAGTGAGCCAAGATCACACCACTGCACTCCAGCCTGGGCGACAGAGAGAGACTCTGTCTCAAAAAAAAAAAAAAAAAAAAAGTGGTCTTGGAGGAAGTTCATGCCTCTTTTTATCCATATCTACAAACTGTGGAACTGGACACTTGCAAGTAGCAAATTACATAAGGTACTTAGGCAGGTGCTGCCTGGAGAGGTCAAATGCTGCAGTGTCATGTAGCATGAGCTAAAGGGACACTGTTTTCTCACAGATGTAGGAAATTGGGTCACTGGATGGGGGCTCTCGGGAAAACAGTAACAGTAAAAGGATGCAAAAGGCACTGTGATAAAAAGGGGTTGACACGATTACTGCCTAAAATTGTAGAAGAATGTACAGATGGCAAAACAAGAAAAGTTGCAACTAACACAAGGGAAGAAATGTGTAATATCATGTTCTTCCGTCACCTCCAGCTGAATGTGCATGTTCTTCCTCACCTCCAGCCCATTGCATGTTTTCCCATTGTCTCCTTTTCTGCTGTCTAGTACTGAAGGTCACAGCTTTCTCATCACTGCCTGTGTGTGAAGACTGAAGGTTTGCCCTTTTGAATTCCTGGATCCTGGAAAGTATCTGGAAAATGTAGGCACTCAACAAATATTTGTTGCTAGGAACAAAGCCTTCAATTACATTAGGCACTGACTTCAATCTTTATTAAGCCACAGTGCTTAATAAAATTATTTTAGCAACTTAATTGAGATTATTATTGACAAATAAAAATTGCATGTATTTAAGGTATTCAACTTCATGTTTTGATATATGAATTATGTAGACATTGTGATATCATCAACATAATCAATCTAATTTATTTATCTATGAATCACCTCACATAGTTAACATTTTTTCTTTGTTTGTGGAGTGAGAATAAGATGACTCTTTCATCTTATTTCTACAGTCATTCTCTTCCAACCAAACTCATTCTCAATTCAGCCTGAAGGAGCCATTGTATGGCCGCATTAGTCATTAGTCTTATGTTCACTGTCCTAGTCATTCTATCTAACCTGGGCTAGCTGCATACTCACAGGGCTAAGACCTTATATTTCTGTTTGATCAGACCCAAGTGAACCCAGCAATGATAGACAAAAGAACAGAATGAGACAGTCTTAAAGCACAAGCAAACTAATTGAGTCTGACTTATTATAGGGAGAACCTAAATATGTGTCCCCTAAACTTTGTAATTGCTATGTATATTTATACAAAGTTACTACTTTCCAATCTTTTAATCTCTGAATCATTTTATCTCTCAAATACGTTAAATTAGTGGAAATTACAAATGCCAAGTGATATTAGCAAGCGGAAGTTTTACTATTTTTAGCATCCTTCAATTTTCTCAGAATAATAAACTTCTGTTATTTTTCATTTTGTTTTTGTTTTGTTTTATTTTGTCCTTTAAGTAAAGAAAGGGAAATATTTCCTATCTCTCTTGTTTCTGATCACTTCATTTTCCTAAGAAATCTTTAGGAGGCTACTATCATAATACACCAGGAAAACTTGGTATCTTTTAAGTTATTTAAAAAAATAAAAACTCTGAAGACTTCTTTTTCAAAAATTCCTAGGAACAAAAGATCACCAATGGAGTTGGCAACACAAGAACAACCATTTCCCTAAGGAAATGAATGGTCCAAACTCCGAAATGTTAACATCTGAGTTACTTTCCAAGTATCTCAGGCACATAGGGTTGGTAGCTCATGGACTCAGTCAGAGACTTTGGAAGAAAGATAGCAATTACAAGCAGTGAATAAGACAATGAAAAAAAAGGAAAGATTTCCATAAAACTATCTGTTTTCTACTTTGATTTTATTAAATTATATTGCCCACAATTTGTTGTGTTCATTTTTGTGTGCATATGGCTTAAACAATGTCTTATTTTTAGTTTTATTTACACATTTATTGTATTTATATGGATAACATACTTATAGAAAACCTGTTATACCCAAAGGAAAACAAGTTGTTCTACCAAAAAGATACATGCACTCGTATGTTTGTCACAGCACTGTTCACAATAGCAAAGAAAGGGAATCTACCCAGGATCTCATCAATAGTGGATTGGATACAGAAAATGTGGTACTTAGACACCATGGAATACTACATAGCCATAAACAAGAATGAAATCATGTCCTTTGCAGCAACGTGGAGCAGCTGGAGGCCATTATCCTAAGTGACCTAAAATAGAAATAGAAAATCAAATACTGCATGTTCTCTCTTATAAGTGGGAGCACATGGACATAGAGATGGGAAAAATAGACACTCGGGACTGTAGGAGGGAGGGAGGAAGGTAAGGATTAAAAAACTACCTATTGGGTACTATGCTCACTACCTGGGTGATGGGTTCAATCATACCCCAAACTTCAGCATCGCATAACAAACCTTTGTAACAAACCTGAACATATACCCTCTGAATCTAAAATAAATGTTAAAAAAGCAAAAAAAAAAAAGTGATTGATAAATACATGCAGAATTGAATTTAAGGACCCATAGTATAATGTTAGGCCCATATGATAATGCATTAAGGAATAAACTTTACCAAAATTAAGCTAACTCATCTATATCAGTCTTTTACTGTAAGAGATACTTCATATTATTACCAAGAATAAAAATTTTTTAATGTTTTCTGCATTTTTTTCTACCAAAAAAAGGCTTGCAATGAAGGAAATCTGTTGAACACCTAGGAATCTACATTGTTTTCAGTATGACCTGCCTTTTTTTTTTTTTTTTAAAGAGACAGGGTCTCACTCTGTTGCCTAGGCTGGAGTTTAGTGGCACTACCATAGCTCACTGCAACCTTGAATTCCTAGGCTCAAGGATCCTCTTGCTTAAGCTTCCTGAGTAGCTGGGACTACAGGTACTTGCCGCTGTGACTGGCTAATTTTTTTTAGTTTTGTAGAGATGAGGCCTCACTATATCGATCAGGCTGGTCTCAAACTTCCGGCCTCAAGCTATCCTCCCGCCATGGCCATAGCCTCCCAAAGTGCTGGGATTACAGGCTGAACCACGGCGCCTAGCCTGTTGTCTTTTAATTCAGATGAAAAAAAAAAAAAAGTAGATTTTTCTCATGTTGATCTACTTCTCTTAAACACACATCTTTCTAAGAATGCATGCAGTGTCCAAATTATAATGCTAAAATCTAAATAAATTCTAGTGGGATTGGCAGCCAGTCAGTACTACTCCTCAGGTTCCCAATGGGCAACAATCTTTCTGCAGGTTTTGTGGCTGCACAGCCTTGGAAGCTTTGCAGTCCCCATGGGCAAGCAGCTTCAGAGATATTTAAGCTGGAGAAGATTCAATCTCTCTTCAATGAGGGGTGTGATGGGGAGGAGCTGATAGCTGTGTTTGCATACAAGGCAGTGCCATTCCTGCTTCAATTTCTCAGCATATGTTAGCCTCTTTGTAAATTCTTTGCAAAATATATTTAAGTATTCAGATTATTATAGGCAAGAATAAAATATGATGTGCTCATAACAAAATTATCTGGTTGAATATTGAGGGGAAAGTGTTATTGATCCTGTAGGGAAATCACTGAAGCCAACCGCTCAATTAACACTCACTCATTCATTCTACAAACAACCCATGAGTGTCAAGTATTTGGCTATGTGATGAGTGTACAGTTTTGAACAGGACTGAGAGAGTTTACAGTCTAGTGGAGAAGATCGACAATTAGGCAATTTAACAATAAAGTATGACAGGACATTAAAAAATAAGCCCCCAAAGATGAGAAGAAAATCTCTCAGGACTGAGGGAGTTTACAATCTAGTTGGGAAGATCGACAATTAAACAAGCAATTTAACAATAAAATATGACAGGACATTACAAAATAAGCTCCCAAAGATGAAAAGGAAGGGAACAAATAATATTATCATGAGAGATGATGCAAAACAAAGAATCAAGTGAAGCCAAACCCTCTTGATGGTTTCCAAATTTGTTTAAATAAAAGAGAGGACAAGAATCTTGTAAAAAAAAAAAAAGTTTCTCACCTAGATCTAGTTTTCCACATACTGTAAATATTTCAGCCTTTGTCATTGGGCAACTGAAAACTTTCTGCTATACTTGAATGTGTTTTCTCAGCAAAGCAAACAGGTGATAAAGCAACAATATGTAAATTAGCCAGTGAAATGGAATACAAAGGCTATATTTGAAATTCTATGTGCAGAGTTAGTCTCCCAATGACCTTACTGTAGAAAAGCAAACATTTCTGCCTCAGAGAAGAGGCAATGCACATACCAAAATAATCCATGCTACTCCATATGTTTTTGATCTGGAAGAAAGCCCTCAGAGGAAGAGAGACTATACAGTAAATGTTGTATCAGAAAACCAAAATGGCATAGTGAATGGGAACATCAAAGTGTCATGATGTGTAAAGATAACCTTCCCTCACACATTCTAGATTACACAAAATGATGACTACAAAATGTTTTTATTCTTTAACTTGAAAAGTCACTCCACATATGTTGCAGGCCAGTTCTGCCTTTTTTCATTGATTGATATTTCCAGGGGCCCAAACCCAGCTATTATTACATTTTTATGTTTCATATCACTTCAACATCTTTAACCAAGTTTTAAATGAGCCGTAAGAGTTCCAGTGAAGAAAATGAGAGTCTCATTTTTTTTCTCCTCTGCCATAATGGCTGACATACCCTTTACACCCACAACCAATGTATAATTCAGCAAAGCATAGGACAAAAAAAAATGGACTTTGTGGTTAAAAAGACATAGGTTTAAAGCCAAGTTCTACCACTTATTATTGTGTCATCTTGAGCATGATGCTTCAATTTCCTAATTCATTGTAGGGTGGAAAATATCTTTCTAATACAATAATTGCAAGAATCAAATGAGATAATACAGGGAATGTACAAAACACAGTGTATGGCATGCAGTACATATTCAGTATTCAGTGGCAATAATTTTCCTGTTAGTGCTTCCAGAATTCTTTTATTTTTTCTCTTTAAGACCTTGCTTTCTTTTTTAAAAAAAACTTTTAAGTTTAGGGACACATATGCAGGTTTGTTATATAGGCAAACTTGTGTCATGGGGGTTTGTTATACAGATTATTTCATCACCCGGGTGTTAAGCCTAGTACCCATCAGTTATTTATCCAGATCCTCTCCCTCCTCCCACCCTCCACCCTCCATTCTCAGATAAGCCACAGTGCTGTTGTTCCCCTCTATGTATATACTGTTTACTATGTATACTGTCCATGTGTTCTTATCATTTAACTCCCACTTATAAGTGAGAACATGCAGTATTTGGTTTTCTGTTCCTGAATTAGTTTGCTAAGGATAATGGCCTACAGCTCCATCCATGTTCCTGCAAACGACATGATCTCATTCTTTTTTATAGCTGCATAGTACTCCATGGTGTATATGTACTATATTTTATTTATCCATTCTACCATTGATGGGCATTTATCTTGATTCCATGTCTTTGCTATTGTGAATAGTGCTGCAATGAACATACACACGCATGTGTTTTTATGACAGAATGACTTATACTCCTTTGTGTATATACCAAGTAGTGAGATTGCTGGGTCAAATGTATTTCTGTTTTTTTATAGGTATACTTAAAGTTCTGGGATACATGTGCAGAATGTGCAGGTTTGTTACAGAGGTATACATATGCCATGGTTGTTGGCTGCACCCATCAACCCATCATATGGGTTTTAAGCCCCACATGCACTAGGTATTTGTCATAATGCTCTCCTTCCCCTTGCCCCCAACCCTTCAACAGGCCCAGTGTGTGATGTTCCCCTCCCTGTTTCCATGTGTTCTCATTGTTCGGCTCCCACTTATGAGTGAAAACATGCAGTGTTTGGTTTTCTGTTCCTTTGTTACTTTGCTGAGAATGATGGTTTCCAGCTTCATCCATGTCCCTGCAAAGGACATGAACTCATTCTTTTTTATGGCTGCATAGTATTCCGTGGTGTATATGTGCCACATTTTCTTTATCCAGTCTATCATTGATGGGCATTTGGGTTGGATCCAAGTCTTTGCTATTGTAAATAGCGCTGCAATAAACATACATGTGCATGTGTCTTTATAGTAGAATGATTTATAATCCTTTGGGTATATCCCCAGCAATGGGATTACTGGGTCATATGGTATTTCTGGTTCTAGATCCTTGAGGAATCACCACACTGTCTCCCACAATGGCTGAACTAATTTACACTCCCACCAACAGTGTAAAAGCATTCCTAGTTCTCTACAGCCTCTCCAGCATCTGTTGTTTCCTGACTTTTTAATGATTGCCATTCTAATTGGTCTGAGATGGTATTTCATTGTGGTTTTGATTTGCATTTCTCTAATGCCCAGTGATGATGAGCTTTTTTCATATGTTTGTTGGCCATATAAATGCCTTCTTTTGAGAAGTGTCTGTTCATATCCTTCACCCACTTTTTGATGGGGTTGTTTGTTTTTCTCTTGTAAATTTGTTTAAGTTCCTTGTAGATTCTGGATATTAGCCCTCTGTCAGATGGATAGATTGCAAAAATTTTCTCCCATTGTGTAGGTTGCGTGTTCACTCTGATGATAGTTTCTTTTGCTGTGCAGAAGCTCTTTAGTTTAATTAGATCCCATTTGTCAATTTTGGCTTTTGTTGCAATTGCTTTTGATATTTTAGTCATGAAGTCTTTGCCCATGCCTAAGTCCTGAATAGTATTGCCTAGGTTTTCTTCTAGGGTTTCTATGGTTTTAGGTTTTACATTTAAGTCTTTAATCCATCTGGAGTTAATTTTTGTATAAGGTATAAGGAAGGGGTCCAGTTTCAGTTTTCTTCATATGGCTAGCCAGTTTTCCCAGCACCAATTATTAAATAGGGAATCCTTTCCCCATTGCTTGCTTTTGTCAGGTTTATAGAATATCAGATGGTTGTAGATGTGTGCTGTTTTTTCTGAGGCCTCTGTTCTGTTCCATTGGTCTACATATCTGTTTTGGTACCAGTACTATGCTGTTATGGTTACTGTGGCCTTGTAGTATAGTTTAAAGTCAGGAAGACTGATGCCTCCAGCTTTGTTCTTTTTGCTGAGGATTGTCTTGGCTACACAGGCTATTTTTTGGTTCCACATGAAATTTAAAGTAGTTGTCTCTTGTTCTGTGAGGAAAGTCAATAGTAGCTTGATGGGAATAGCATTGAATATGCAAATTACTTTGGGCAGTATGGCCATTTTCACGATATTGATTCTTCCTATCCATGAAAATGGAATTTTCTCCCATTTGGTTATGTCCTCTCTTATTTATTTGAGCAGTGGTTTGTTGTTCTCCTTGAAGAGATCCTTCACATCCCTTGTAAGTTGTATTCCTAGGTATTTTATTCTCTTTGTAGCAATTGTGAATGGAAGTTCACTCATGATTTAGCTCTCTGTTTCTCTACTATTGGTGTATAGGAATAATTGTAATTTTTGCACATTGATTTCATATCCTGAGAATTTGCTGAATTTGCTTATGAGCTTAAGGAATTTTTGGGCTGAGATGATGTGGGTTTTCTAAATATACAATCATGTCATCTGCAAACAGAGACAATTTGACTTTCTCTCTTCCTATTTGAATACCCTTTATTTCTTTCTCTTGCCTGATTGCCCTGGCCAGAACTTCCAATACTATGTTGAATAGGAGTGGTGAGAGAGGGCATCCTTGCCTTGTGCCGGTTTTCAAAGGGAATGCTTCTAGCTTTTGCCCATTCAGTATGATATTGGCTATGGGTTTGTCATAAATAGTTCTTATTATTTTGAGATATGTTCCATCAATACCTAGTTTATTGACCATTTTTAGCATGAAGCGGTATTGAATTTTCTCAAAGGCCTTTTCTGCCTCTATTGAGATAATCATGAGTTGAGACAGAGTCTCACTCCATAGCTCAGGCTGGAATGTAGTGGCACAATCTTGGCTCACTGTAACTTCTGCCTCCCACGTTCAAGTGATTCTCCTGCATCAGCCTCCCAAGTAGCTGGTGTTACAAGTGTCTGCCACCACTCCTGGCTAATTTTGTTTGTATTTTTAGTAGAGATGGGGTTTCACCATGTTGGTCAGGCTGGTCTTGAACTCCTGACCTCAGGTGATCTGGCTGCCTCAGCCTCCCAAAGTGCTGGGATTACAAGTGTGAGCCACCATGCTTGGCCCAGCCAGAATTCTTTTTTTTTTTTTTAATTCCTGTCTACTCCACCTCTTCTTCTTCTTAAGATTGGCCTTGCTTGTCCCACTATTATTATCAAATAATTAGATTTCATAATTTCAGCATCTAGACTGCTTTTTATTTAAAAAATAAAAAAGTTTAAAAGTTGAACTGAGTAAGCCTTTAACATTTTATTAAATTCATCTATAAGGTTTAAGTTCTTTATGAATAAGAAGAAGAGAATATCACCCAAGAGACTAGCTTTTAATTTAGATTTCATCAAACTATAACAAAGTAAGACAAAATGGCTGAAATTTTCCAGAAAAGAAACCCACCAAAATAGCCAAGTAGCCCAACAATTAATCAATCATTTTAATACTCATAGATTGTCTATTCCATCAGCAGCTGGGTGAGACAATGTTATAAAATGGTTTTATCAGGCCCCTTGGACAGAAAACAAACTAAACGAGAGAAAATCTGAATTTGGCAGCAGAAGGACATAGTGAGGCCTGCTTAATCCCACAATTTCCTGACAAGGCATGAAAGAAGAATTCAGATTGGCAGTAAATTAGGCAAACTAGAATGTATTTCTGCAAATGAGCATTGACTTTAGAAAAAGCAACCTCAGGAATTATAAACCTATAAACCTGTATAAACCAATGAGGCTGCCATTATGTTTATCTCCCAGTCATTAAGGCCAGTTGAAAATCCAAATACAAATCAGTGTTATTATTTCAGAGCCACATCTCCATCAGCATCAAAAATCTAGGTATATCTTTTGTTTACCAATTTTACCTGGTAGATTTCATTTCAAATGAATTTTGGCTATTTCCAGAAATCAAAGCTGCTCTAAAAGAAGCAAGATGAGGTTCTGCTGAAGGTGTGTGAAATAATGCAGTGAAGGCATGTTCTGAGACAATTTCTCAAAAAAAGAAGGTCATGTAAATTCAACCAAGATGATTGACTATCTTCAAGAGCACAACTCTTGATTATGCAAGTTCCAGCATAAAAATAATAAAAACTGTCATATGAATTTTGCCCCTGATGTTAGCCTGTGTCTCCTCCCTACACCTGAAGATGGGAAGAAATTTTATGCCGTGATCAATGATTCCCTTTCTGCCCTGCTTCAGGCTTGCTTTTCATCAGCATCCTGGTTATACTGTAGTTTCTGCAGCTGTGGAGCCAAGTCCACTTTCTGAGGGAACAGCAGCCAACTGAGGAACCGAGGTAGTCATCTGCAAAAGCCTGTCTGGGGAAATGGCTATTTATTGTCAGTCGAGTTGGGAGTGAATCACAACATACATCAGTTGTGGTGGCAATGTTATTCATATAATATTTAATAAGTTTATGTAATTGGACCAAGTTCCATTAGTACTTGTTGCAATAAAACCACAGACATTTCTCAAAAAGCAGGGCATCCAGCTGGAGGATATAGACTGTTTATTTAAAATTGGTGAATACATAGCCACAGGCATCCAGAAGCCAGAGCAAAAATAAGCATGAGCAGTAAAAAGTGCAGTAGTCAAAAAAGAGGCTGAGTGGCCAACAAGAAAAAGGAAATTTAGTAAAAGCTCACCTTGCATTCAGTCATTCAATTCACAGAGGTCCATGAGCAACCACTATTGCAAAACAATTCCACTGATCTCTTTCATTGTTTTCTAATTAATTGCATGTGTCATAGACTTGATTTTTGTTTTTCAAAAAATGTGCCTTGAATGCAAAAACCAGTTCATACAATATTGTTTTTCTATCACAGCATTTGGCACAGTGCTTCGTATTCTAGATCTTATCAGTACATTTTAGGCCCTTTGCCAAATGTTAGAATGTAATGTTATAAAGAGTACTGTACCTTCAGTAAAAAATACATGAGTACAAATCTCACTTTTCCATTTCATTGTATAATTTGGGTAAAGTAACTAAGCATATTGAGAAATATAAAGAAGTTCTAATTAGTCTCTTAAAAAAAGAGAATATGCACTTTTCTGGTTGAAAACATCAATTCCTTGCCAATTATTTTATTAGCCAACAGAATTCTTTTTATTCTCAATGAATTTTGGGGACAGCTTAACAGTGGTTTTAAAGTTTATTTAGGGAATTAGTAAGTGAAAGTAGATAAGAAGCTCTTAGGAGAAAAAACTGACGTGAAAGTTGCCCCACTAGAGAAAATATTATAAAGCTGAAATCACTAAAATGACTGTACCAATACAAATATTTAAAACGTTAATCATTAAGTCTAGGTAATGGAAATATAGATGATTTCTATATTAATTATCTTTGGCTTTTTTTCTGTTTCATTCTTTTCAGAAATAATTTAAAAGAGCCAACAAAGAAGAAAAGCTACCACTTAAAGAATAAATAGATGAATCTTATAGATAGTCCCTATGAGCCTTAGTTTATGTAAAACTTTAATATATGATGTTATGGACTGAACACTTGTGTTCCTCCAAAATTCCTATGTGATGAATTAGAAGGTGGGGTTATTGAGAGGTCATTAGGATTTAGATGAGGCCATGAGGGTAGAGGCCTCAGGAATGAGATTAGTGCCCTCATCAGAGTTATGAGAGAGCTTGCTTTCTCTCTCTTTTCACACACTGTGTGGATCCAAGAAGTTGGCAGTCTGCAACCTGGAAGAGGGTCCTTACCAGAATGCCACCATCCTGGCCCCTGATCTCAGACTTCAAGCCTCCAGAGCTGTGAGAAAACACTGTTCTTTGTTTAAGCCACCCAATCCACGGTGCTTTGTTAGAGCAGCCCAAATTGAATTGAGACATGTGACAAAGCAAGCATCATAAAACAACAGAGAAAAAATGAAATATTCAAATTATGTCACGAGAAAACGAGCTAGGTATTTAGAAACAATTCTTTAGATTCCTCATACCACACAGTGAAATGCATTTTAAGTTGCTTTCAGAAATCAATATCAAAAATAAAACAAATTTTAAATATAACAAAATTTAAAACAATGTCTTATTTTTGAAGAAAGAAATGCTTTCTAACCCTGAAAGTAATGGAAGAAATAACTAAGGAAAAAGTCAATATATTCAAAATAGATATATGTTTAGAACTTTGGCTTATCAAAAATCATAAAGTTGAAGACAGATCAAATTGGAAACATATGCCATGATTTTATAAAGAATGAGTATTCCAGTATGTAGAGAATTCATAGAAATTGAATAATGAAAACAATATCTAAGAATCAATAGTAATATGAGAAATAAATATGAGTAGCAAATTCATAGAAGGAGGATTTCATGTGTCTGATAAACATGAGAAAACCAATTCAACCTAATGAGTCATAAAAATACATAAATTGAAACAAAGAATGAAATAATATTATTTTCCCATATTTGAATAGCAAAAGCATTTTAAATGTTAATTATCTTAAGGAGGTAGGAAAACATACATTCTCCTGCAGCATTTGTGGTGTGGCTATGTAAATTAGTATAACTTCATGGAAGCAAGTTGTGAGTTTTAAGAACCAAATACTCTTGCTCAAATAGTAATGACTAATTCTAGTGATCTATCTTTTCTTTTTTTTTTTTTTTTTTTGAGATGGAGTCTCATTCTGTTGTTGCCCAGGCTGGAGTTCAGTGGCATGATCTCGGCTCACTGCAATCTCCACCTCCCTAGTTCAAGCAATTCTCCTGTCTCAGCCTCCTGAGTAGCTGGTACTACAGGCGCACGCCACCACGCCCAGCTAATTTTTGTATTTTTAGTAGAGACGGGGTTTCGTCATGTTGCTCAGGCTGGTCTTGAACCCCTGACCTCAGGTGATCCACTGGCTCAGCCTCCCTAAGTGCTAGGATTACAAGCATGAGCCACCACGACCAGCCCTAGTGATCTATCTTAAAAAAATAATCAGAAAAATGGTCAAAAATTTACAGAGAAAAATGTTCATTGCAGTACTATCAGAGCAAAAACTGTCCAATATGAGGAAACCAAATTATGGTGGGTGCCTAATGGAATACCAGTCACTATTTTTCAATGTAATTGTAGATGTACATTTTTTGACCAAGAAATATAGTCACAATATGTTGTTTTGTAAAAATAAGCATATAGAAATGAAAATAGAGTATAATTTCAACCATATAAAGATATTCACATAGAGAAATGATTGCCCCAAAATAGTGATAGTGTGTATTGGTTGGTAGTCTTACACGTTAGAATGAAAGTAAAAAGATAAAAAATGAGCAGTTTTTGGTGGATATAGCAGCTCCCGACTGTCAGGGTCCTTCCATCTTATTGTTTCAGTATCCTGGAGTGTTGTCGTCATTCTCCTCAAACAGTGCTCAACCCTGCATTCATGTTTCAGGCAGAAGGAAAAAAGGAAGAGGGAATATGATGAGTACACTCCTTCCCTTTGTGGGTACAGTTCCAAAATTCCATATATCACATTCACTTTTATCCCATTGACCAGAGCTAAATCACATGGCCACACCAAAATATAAGAGAAGCTGGAAAATGAAGTCACTAATTAGGTGATTTTGTAAACTAAAAATTGTATTACTATGCCAAAAAAAAACCCACAGACTATTATGAGATAATTTCTGGTATACTTCATCTCTTTGGACACGACACCGAAAGATCCATGTGCACCTGTCATCACATATGTAGAATATGCCCATTTCTCAAGACAGACAATCCAAAACTTCCTCCAGTTATTAAATGTGTCTCAATGCCCTGGAATTCTAGAAGATGCCCAGTCCTCTTCATCACATCTAGATGTGTCTCCTCTCAATCTGACATCCTACAAACTAAAATACAAGTTGTATACCCCCTCCACCCAACACACATAAAATACAATGGTGGGATAGGAAAAGGCTAACTGCATTTAAAATTTCCCTTCACACAATCATGCCAATGAAATTAAAATACTTGGGTATAAATTTAGCAAAACATATACACAATCTGTATGCTGAAAATTACAAAATGCTAATGTAAATCCAAGGAGATTAAATATATAAAGAGACAGACAGACTGTGTTTATGAATTGAAAGACTCGTCATAATAAATACGCCAATTCTCCCAATTGATCTATAGGTTTAATGCAATTCCTATCAAAATCCTAGCAAGAGGATTTTGTCTATATTTTTGTAGACATACACAAGCTTATGAAATTTATATGAAAAGGCACGGTGTTAGAATAGCCTATGTATTCTTGAAAAATAATACAATATGGAAGTAATCACTCAGCTCAATATTATGGTTTATAACATAGCCACCATAATCAAGACAGAGTGGTATTAGTGGAGGTATAGACATGTAAATTAGTGGAACAGAATAGAGAACTCAGAAATAGACCCACACCAAATATGCTTAAGTGACTTTTAATAAAGATGCAGAAGCAATTCAATTGAGAAGGACAGCGTTTTCAACAAACGGTGTTAGAACAATTGGACATCCAGAGGCAAAGAAAAAAAACTTAATCTAAACCTCAAATCTTGTGCAAAATTAACTCAAAGTGGGTCACAGACTTAACTGTAAAATGTAAAACTATAAAACTGTTAGGTTGGGTGTGATGGTGTGCACCTGCAGTCCCAGCTACCCATGAGGCTGAGAGAGGAGGACTGCTTGAGCCCAGGCATTCAAGTCCAGCCTGGTCAACATAGAAATACTTTGTCTCTAAAACAACAAGAGAAAAAGAATGACTTTAGAAAAGACATAAGATAAAACCAGTCAGTGTGTAGGGATAGGCAACCTGACATGAAACCATGATTCCTGAAAGGAAAAATGGATAAATTAAGCCTCATCAAAATTTAAAACTTTTACTCTGTGAAAGACCTGTTAAAAGAATGAAAAGACAGGCTGCAAACTGGGGGGAAACATTTGAAAAAAATCCCACAAATAACTAGTATCAAGAGTATATAAGGAACTCTCAAAACTCAACAGTAAAAAAACAAACAATCTAAACAGAAAGTAGTCAAAAGGCATGAACAAACATTTCACTACAGAGAATACATATGTCAAATAAACACATAAAAAGTAGTTCAACACCACTGAACTTTGAGCTTAGTCCATCAAGGAAGTGCAAATTAAAACCTCAATATCATTACACACCTATTAGAATGGGTAAAATAATAACACGAAACGCTGATGAGGATGTGGGGAAAACTGGATTGTTCACACATCGCTAGTGAGAATATGGAATGGTGCAGCCACTCTGGAAAGCAGCCTGGTAGTTTCCTGTAAAACTAAGTTTGCAGTGCAACTGTGATACGACCTGGAAATTTAAATCTTGAGCTTTTGTCCCAGATTAATGAAAACTTATGCTCACTCAAAAACCTGTACATGATGGTTCATAGCAGCATTATTTACAACAGCAAAACCTGGAATCAGCCCAGATGTCCTACAACTGAGGAATGGTTAAACAAATTGTACTGCATCATGCCATGGAATACTACTCAGCAATAGAAAGAAACAGATGATTGAATTCACCCACAACTTGGATGAATCTCCTGAATATCATGCTGAGTGCAAAAAAAAGCCAAACTCAAAAAGTTACATATCAGCTACGAAAAGTTACAAAAGACATAAATTCAACTTATAAAACATTCTTGAAAAGAGAAAATAAGAGAAATGAAGAGCAGACGAACGGTGCTAGGGGTTACGAATTGGGGATATTGTTCAATGTTTATGGCAATATTATTCATAATAGCCATAGCCTGAAAACAACCAATTAACAGATAGAAAGGCAAACTGAGGTAAATCCATGCAATAGAATACTACTCCTGATACACAGCAACATAGATGGACCTCAAAAGCATTGTAAAGTGAAAGGAGCCACACATCTACTGATATAAAATATAAACCAATTGCATTTATATGTAATTCAAATACAGGCAAAACTAATCTACAAAGAGTCCAGAGTGCATGTGAGGGTGAAGACAAACTAGAAAGGGAGGTTGGAACTTTCTGGAATGATAGAAATTATTTATATGTTACCGGGATAGTGGTTACACAGGTTTATACAATTATCAAAACTTATTGAACTGAATGCTTAAAGTCTGTACTGTTTATAGCACATTAACTATAAAGCCATTTTTAGAAATGTGATTGTGAGGTTAGATGGAGAGAAATCATTCTATGATTTCACTTTAGCATTTCCAGGGTCATGCTAGGAGTCTGAGCAGAATTAGGATTGTTGCCTCCGAACGTTTGCCTTAATAAACTCAATATTTCATATAAACAAAAGATGGGATTATTTAATTTAACAGGAAACAAATATTACAAGAATTAAGAAGATTCTAAGTGGATTTGGATCACTCCATGTTCATCTCACAGCCCTTGAATTATTCATCCATTCACTCAGTAAACATTTCTTGAATCCCTACAATGGGTCAGGCACTATTATAGACACTTGGAATCTAGAAAGAGAACTTGTTCAGGAATAGCATCCTGCCTGTCCTGACCCACGTCACCCTCCCAAGCCCAGAAAGGAAGGCTATCAAGGTTAAAAGAGCAGAAATAGGGACCAGACACACATGAGCTGCTTCATTACTTTTTGTTGTGACTAGTGATCAATGACACACATGTCATTAACTATATTACCACCTTCTGTAACATATACAATGACTAAGCACATTCAATAGCCCTGTGAATGGTTGAAAAACACAGCAGAGACTCTGCACAGGACTCCTGGATAGGAGGGGAGTGCCAAAGATGCCAGGCCTTGATGTATAAAGACAGGATAAAATTTTCAAAAGCTTCTTCGCCTTTTCTCCTCCCCTACTCTTTTGTTTACCTTTTCTTTTCTTTTGATGTTTGCCTCTTTCTTTCTGAAATAAACTTGTTCCCAGTCTCTCATTTCCTGTCTTATATTTTAAATTTCATAAAATAAGATCTTATTTAAGTTGTAAATGTTCTTTCCAAGGCCTTATTTCTTTAAAAGGAAGCACTGATATATGAACATATCTTCTTAATCAAGGAACAGTACGGGGAGGGCCCCAACATGAAAAGAACATGTATGGGCCCCAACATGAAATCAACAGTACGGGAAGGGCCCCAACATACAAAGAAAAGATAAAATACAAATTTTGAGAAACAAGACAAATCAGGAAAAATTAGATGAGGACAAATAGCGACTTTCTGTGAAAGCTTAAAATGAGAAGCTAAAATGGGTAGAACCCTTAATACCATTGTAAATAGTAAGTTATGAATTGGAACTATAGTAAAGATGATACAGTCACATGGAAAAGACTAAGTTTTAAAAGCAGAGTTATTAACAACAACAACAACAAAAAAAAAAAAAGCTGCCAATGAAACAGATGAGCCTAATTAATAGTAATTTTGAAGGGTAGTTGTGAAATCCATCCATCAGATATACTAATAATTAAAGTATCAGGAAATGAAACATGCTAGTAGGACATAAGCAGTGGTTTCTTAATATTTGGCTAATTCACATATTTGGGAGGTAAACATTCCCATAGAACATGTCTCAAAGTCTTAATGACTTGTTTGATGATTACACAGTAACTGAATCATGAATATAATCAAGATTTTCCAACTCTTGATTTAGTAGCCTGGCTCCAGACCAAAGAAATACACCTTGTCTTTAAGAAATATAGCTTTTCATTTAAGAGTTTTTGAAATTATTTCATAGACCACCTATAACTAACAGCAGCTTAAACAGCGTTTCTTACTGTACTCACATTGAACCAGCATCTGTTCTAAATGGTATATGCCTAATCGTTGTTGCTAATTTGTCATTTAACTCAAAAGAGATCATTTAATATTGAATTTTTAAAATAATTTTATGCTCTTAGGCACCATGTCATGAATTCAAAAAGGATAAATCAGCATATTATTTTTCAAGGAAAAAAATCAGAAGCTTATGTTTTAATATGTAAAATACAATAAAGCCATTCTCAGATCATAATATCAGTATTGGTTTATGGATCAGTTGTTGTAGATAATCAGCCTAAGAGCTCAGAGACCCCCAAATCATTCTATAGGAGGCAAAATGTCTGTTTCTTTAGAATCCACTTATACATGCCCAGAGGGAGACCATGCCCTAAATAGGGACCGAACGTTTGCGTTAATAAACTCAATATTTCATATAAACAAAAGATGGGATTATTTAATTTAACAGGAAACAAATATTACAAGAATACAGGAAAGTTGCACAGCCTTCCATAGTGAGAGCATTGCCACTCATATTACTGAACTGAATTCTTGTCCACAGCAGACAGTGCCACTCTGAAATAGCAGTGGCAAAATTTTGAAATTGATACATCATGAAAGATGCCACTGCATGGGAAGTCCAGGTTAATTTCATCTGCTTGTGAGGGTTCTTATTTTTCACTCTTGTCCGTA
Organism: Homo sapiens; assembly: GCF_000001405.40. Classification (NCBI taxonomy): domain Eukaryota; kingdom Metazoa; phylum Chordata; class Mammalia; order Primates; family Hominidae; genus Homo; species Homo sapiens. Next base: position 78,692,767 of record NC_000013.11, on the reverse strand, counting down.
AACACAACTGTTAAGAATTACCATACAGAAGTTGGTTTACTAGCATTTCTGAGAAATCCACATAAAATCAACAAAGTATATAAACTCATCAAAGTTGTTGACGTGGGTAATTTGGGAAGAAAGGAAGGAGCTGTAATAAATAATACCAGGATATGACCAGTATAGATGTGAGTTAGTTTGTTGCTATCCCATTTTGCCTCGAGTGAACAATCTATTTTTTATTCATGATGTTCTGCTTTCAAAGTTCACATTTTGTAGAGTTGTAATGTGAATCAAAAAATGTGGCTCCACAGAGACCGCTAGAGATAGAAACTGCTATTTTACATCTATGATTTCAGGGAAATGGCCATACTTCAGCTTTGTTAGTAACTTAGCATAAAGATTCTACAAGCCAGAAGAGAGTCGTTGTAGAAAAATAACAATGTCAGGCAAAGGAGGGTGCTGGTAATACACACAAATAAAGTGTTTAAAATATCCTCTCCAAAAAGTGTTCCTGGATTAACTGCAACTCAGATTGACTCCTGTAGCACCTCGTCTGTACCTATACACTGGTCTGTAAAGCTGTAATGATGGCAAAATACTGAAACATATGCTTTATTTCTTTCTATTGGAAAAGGTAAGGTTTTGACATGAGATAGAAGTGAGTTTGAATCCTGGTTTGGCCCCTAATAAGTTGAGTGATCTTGAAAGACTGACTTTTTTGGAGGTTCAGTCTTCCCTTTTGTAAACAAGGATAATAATATTAATACTTGCCTTAGGGGTTTGTTTTATGAGTTATTTCAGATAACAGAGATAACCTAACAGTTGGTGGAGAATAGATACTACATACATGACAGTTTCCTTTCTTTTTCCTTCAGGCTAGGGATCAAGATTTCTAAAATGTTTATGATTCCTCTACAACCTAAAGAATTCTATGTACAGTGTACACTTGATAACTGAGCAATCACATCAGGATATTTTAGCAAGACTATGAATTTCCAAGTTTTAATCACTACTACCTCCAAGTCAACTGGATTTCTACAACATAATTACAACCATAGATGCACAAAAAAGATCAATGATCAAGTTAAGGGGCAGCACATATTTAAGGCTTATGTTGAAATAAAGTTTAATGGCTCTAGAAAAAAATATCTTTGAATTGGTTATGTAAGATCAAGAGATCACTCTCCTTTCTTAATATTTAATTTAAATAATGCCCAAACATACAAGCATACAGTAGACTAACAACGGAATTCAATATTGATTTGTTTGTCCAAAACACATAAAAAGCAAATCTTATAGAGAGCTTTATGATGTTAATAGTTAGCCTAATCACATCATTTGGAATACAACACTTTTCTCTATTTTAAAATGAGTATAAAAAAATCAATATGCTCTCCCTGCACTATCTGTATGTTGTCACGACTCATAACTGTAATTTCAGATCAAGACAACATCAAAGTGCCACCTATATTGCCTTCATTTGGACTTGCTATGAGAGTATTGTTACAATATGAACTACATTTACATACATTAGAATACAGCAGAAAAAGTAACCACTGTGCGTGCTAAATAGTTGTTTTCCTAAACTTTAATATCTCAGGTGGCTTCCTTTTATTCCCCAATCCCCTAAGGACATTTTTCTACATTAAGAATTGCCTTCATCCAGGCAATTATTTGCAAAATTTCGAATCAACAATACCTTTGCTTATTTGTGATATTGTCTCTATTTTTCTATGTCTGTTTTCAAACTGCAAGGCTACCATGAAGTCTGATTTCTTTACAAGTTCGTTCTCTCCTGCTGTTTCTCTCTCACCTCAAGTCAGCATCCCCTGTTGCAAAGGGCATGTGCTAATGATCTAAGTCACAAGCGAGTATATAAAAGAAAAAATGAAAAGGCTATAATCACGTTAATGAAATGAACAAGGGAGGTTTCAGGAGGGAAGTCCACAAAGGCTTTGAGGAGCAGCCCTGTTATCATTAGCACTACCTCATCTACCAACTAACTTGTGCCAGTCTTCTACCTGCAGCCTAGTTGATCCAGGACCACACGCTTGTAAATGCTTGCATGAAATACCACCGAAACGCATATATAGAAATTGTTATTCATTAAATACACAGTTCTATTTTAAACCACACCTCTGACAGCAGGCGGACGTTTGCCTGAAGGTAGGTCATTGAGAGTCAATGCAAATGAGGGCAGCTCCTCAGCAGTTTAAAAAAAAAAAATTAACTTAGGGAACTTTGTGGGCATAGGTCTTTCTCAAAGCAGCTCTACCGATGCTCTTTAAGATATAGGCCCATCACCCAGGTGCTGAGCCAAGGCCTCCAGGCTGATTACTGAGAGTGGAAGCTCTCCCAGTGGACCACTCACACGGTGCCTTCCACTGACTCTGGGCTGCCGTCGCTTTATGAAAATAACAAGGATTACAATGAGAGACACTGGATATATTCTATAATATGGTAATTACGTCGCATCACTCTTCTACCTCGAGTAACATTCATTAGAAAGTGCCAAACACAGATCACATTAGATCTTACCCATCTTAAAAGCACTTTAAAGTCATGGAGACTATAAAGCAAAATAGCTGAGTTTCTGGGGAACCTAGGTCCTGACTTCAATAGAGACCTTGTTCTTCTCTCACTGGTTTCTAGCTGAGATACAGAAATTGCTTCTACTCACAAACTCCAATTTGAAATTGGAGGTAGCTCTTTTTTTAAAGGTGTTGTTGGAGTCAGGATTCAAACTCATATTTTCAGGACGTAGATTTTTTGTTGTTACCCACTTTGCCATAATGGCTTTCAAGAAAGAGAGCAAACCCCTTCATCTGACAAAAGATTGGATAATACCCTGATCTCTCCTCTTCTCTACTCCTTTTATTCAGTAAAGCAGCTTCTATAATTTCCAGAATTCTGAGGCGTCATCTCTCTTGGTGCAGTGATGCTTTTTGAAATAATCAAATGGCTTACCTGCTTCCTACCTCCGATTTTTCTATTTCCTTTAAGAATCTTCAATTCGGGCCACGCGCAGTGGCTCACTCCTGTAATCCCAGCACTTTGGGAGGCCGAGGCGAGTGGATCACCTGAAGTCAGGAGTTCGAGACCAGCCTGGCCAACATGGTGAAACCTTGTCTCTACTACAAATAAAAGAATTAGCTGGGCATGGTGGGGCACACCTGTAGTACCAGCTACTTGGGAAGCTGAGGCAGGAAAATCGCTTGAACCCAGGAGGTAGGGGTTGCAGTGAGCTGAGATCGGGCCACTGCACTCCAGCCTGGGAGGTTTCAGTCAGCTAAGATCGCGCCACCGCACTCCAGCCTGGTCGACAGAGTGAGACTCCGCGTCTCAAAAAAAAAAAAAAAAAAAAAAAAAAAAAAAAAAAAAAAAGAATCTTCAATTCCAAGTGGACTGGAATCAGAGATTTAGTTGGTCACAGGATTTCTAACAATTGATATCAGCAGTCCCCAGGTAGACTGGGGTGGTGGGAGGTATTTGGGCCCTGAAAAGCAAGAGACTGGAGCGGTTGTCCTGAGGCATTCCTAATCCCAGGGGAAAAGAGTGAAAAACAGGAGTGTCTGGTTCTCAGAGTTTTGCCACATGGTGGCAATAGTAGAAGCCTCTGATAATTGGGAGACTTAGTTTTTTCTCCAGACCTTCTCGTGAATACACAGCTTTCAGCAACTAAAGTCTGGATTGATTTTTGTGGTCTAGATGTACTGCTGAAGAGTACAAAAACACCAGAGAGGGGCTCTTAATAGGTCCCTCTTTTTGGCTGCTGTCAAAAAGAATCCTAAGACATGCTTACTTAGTAAACTAAACTAAATAGTTTGAGGTTCCATCCTAGTGCATAGGTGCTGAGAGTAAACAGAGTCAAAAATTAGTGGTATTCCCATTGAAATCAGGAATGAGCCATTGCTGATAAAAGTATGTTGTAACCTAGAAATACAAAGAAACACTCTCATTGTGTGAAAAATTAGGAACCAATGATAAAGATCATTCTAAATGGTAAGACACTTGATAATTAAAGATAGAAATAAAATATATATGTTCACTATCATTGCTATGTTTAACAAAGTTCTGGAAACCTTAGCCAATGCAAAAAGAAAAATAAGAAACAAGATGTGTGTACATATTGCAAAGGAAAGGAACGGGAAGAGAAAAAACTGTCCTCATTTGAAGATTGGAAGATGATCAGAAAAATCATTTTAAATCAATAGAAAAGCTATTGAAACTATTTAAAATTTTAGCAAATTAATATTTGGCTAAATGAAAATTTAAAATATGTGTGTGTATACTGCAAACTGCAAAATTAAATAACAAATTAGAGGAAAACATAAATAAGAACAGAAAAGGTATGAAATGGCTTAATATACAAAAGGTTTTTTTTGCAACTCAATAACAAACAAAAGCATTTTGATAGCATGAACAAAGTAAATAAACATGAAAAATACAATAGGATATACAAAAATCTCCTAAATAGAAATAAAACTGTAAATTTTAAAATATGAGACAGCAATATCGATTTGATAAAAATATTTTAAAAGGTAGTAACATTTGCCAAAACCTATCAAATACACAACACCAAAAGTGAACCCTAACATAAGCTATGGATTTTGGGTGATAACGACGTATCCAGGTAGATTTATTGATGGTAAAAAAGGTACCACTGAGGTGTAGGAAGTCAATAGTGGCAGAGGTTGTACATGTGTGGGACAGGGGCAGATGAGTACTTTCTGCTCAGTTTTGCTGTGAACCTAAACCTGTTCTAAAAAATAAAGTTCATTAATGAAAAATGACAAAAACACTTTTGTAACTGCTATTCCTGGTATCAATAACTTTAAATATATTGATATGCTAGGAGCCCATAATTTTGCTTCTAGTGATAAATACTAAGTGATTTGTTTAAAATGTAGTAAAAATTATGTGTGGAGATGCTTAGTACAACTTTATAATAATGAAAAACAAATAGCAAGCAAAACAAAGCAAAACCTAATTGTCAATGAGCATTTCACACTAAAGACAGTACAAAACTGCAGAAACAAAAGCATACCTGAAATATTTTAACAATTTTTTTAAAAAAACCTCAAGATAAAACATCACTTAAACAAAAGGAAGATGTATGTTGTACATGTATGTGGTTTTAATCCTAACTCTTTAAAAATATAATTACATAAATGTTCCTTAAAAACTGCATGGATGTATTAACAATATTATGACTGGGTAGGGAGATTTCAGGTGATTTTTAGTTAATTTCTTGTAATTTTTATATTTTCTGAATGTTCTACAATAAGCACATATTGTATGTATAATTTAAATGCAAAAGAAATATTTTAAAATTATTGCTCAAGGCTAGCTCAATATTCAAAAATTAATCAATGTAATTATTATATTAAGTCTTTTTTAAAAACTCACATATTTATATCAATTCATACAGAAAAATATTTAACAAAATTCAACATCTCTTCATGATAAAAAGTCCCATCAAACTGTGAATAGAAGGGAACTACCTTAACCTGATCCACAGCATTTACAAAAACACTACGGCTAATATTATACTTGATGGTGAAATAACATTTTCTCCTTAAATTTAGGAAAAAGGCAATTTAAGACTTCTACCATATTTGTTAACAAGAGACAGTGACCTTGCTACTCAAAGTGGATAACACGGTGAGTGCAGGCTGGGTGTGGTGGCTCACACCTGTAATCCCAGTACTCTGGGAGACCGAGGTGGGCCGATCACCTGAGGTCGGGAGTTTGAGATCAGCCTGGCTAATGTGGTGAAATCCTGTCTCTACTAAATATACAAAATTAGCTGGGAATGGTGATGCATGCCTGTAATCCCAGGTACTCAGGAAACTGAGGCAGGAGAATCACTTGAACCTGTGAGGCGGAGGTTGCAGTGAGCCAGGATCGCACCTCTGCACTCCAGCCTGGGCAACGGAGTGAGACTCCATCTCCAAAAAAAAAAAACAAGGTAAGTGCAAAGGTGTAAATGTGCAGAGAGAAAGCTAACATTCCCAAAACTATTGATGGAGAAAAAGCAAAAGCAAGAACTTAGGTTTCCTGAGTACCAGACTATCACACACTGTGGTTGACTTTGCTAGGCCCTTATCATAAAACTCAGACTTGCCTCCACCCCCAAGCCATTTCCTGAATTGTTGAATTATGTATTTCTTGACATAATGTTGCAGTCATAGATAATTAGTATTAGTTATGTGTCTATAGACATACTACTGCTATCATTTCTAAAGGCCGAACTGAGATGTACGTAGGATCTCTTCCTCTCCAATATACGATATTTGTCTCCTGCAACTTTAAAAAAGAAAGTTCCTTATTCCAATCTTGCATATAGTTATGAAAAAGAAATGAAAAAAAAATTATCGGAGTGAAAAATGCAAGGTGACAAATAGAAAGGACCTGTCCTAGAACTCAACTTCAGCTCCAAATAACAATGAGAGGATCAGAAAAATGAATTCCGTCATTCATATTGGTCAACAGCAAAGAATTAATGAGGCCAAGGAGTCAGAACGAGGCTTCTTACTCTTAATTCCACTATTTCAGAAATCTTAGAGTCATCATGCACTCTTTATGTCTTATTTATTACCTCCCTGATGCTATTTTAGCCGATGTCCCCTTTTTGTCCTTAATGAGGATGTAGGACATTTGGTCACCAGTCATCTTTGCAAAAAGTTCACATGGTCTTATTCAATCATCCCTCACCTTTTTTCTCATCAGCTTTGCTAAATTTTATCATATGAACAAACCATTTTTCTTGTTGCCTTTCACTCAAACAGAATACCAAATCTTTTCCTTTCTCTTCATATTTTCCTTAAATTCCTTTCATCTCTGGTTGAGAATTTCATCTGGACTTCTGAAAATGGTGTTTCTAGAAAAAGTTATATAGCTCCCATCTGGCACTCAAACTTTGTGTCTGTTTTTACAACACTGGGGGATGGCCTCTTGGGGTACCTGATAACAGATCCCAACCAGTGCCAATAGGTGTCAGGGCCCACCATCACCACTCAGCACTTCTCTGTGGCCCAGCACCAACCCTAGACTCATGCCTATCAGAGACCATCCCCAGTGGAAGAAGAAAAGTAAAGGCACTGTAGTGAATTTTTATAAAACTGTGTTTATTTCCATGGAAACAAGTTGCTTTGTATTCTGAGATTGTATCTTTTCTTACTTTTTCTGTCTTTAAAATGTCCTTTCTTTTGTTTGGATAGCGTATTAAAATTAACTTCTTTGAAATGGTTTATCTTTGCAAAACTAAAATGCTGTCAGCTCTCAGTCAGTCCCTTTATCTTTGTTGTTGTTATTTCTTTTTTACTACTTTGTGAAATATCGGTCTGGGTGTAGAGGTTAAGAGTATACATCTTGGCCTCAGTGGTCAGGGCTGGATTCAAATTCCTGCTCCTCCACTCCTTATTGGTAAAGTAACCATAGACATGTTGCTAAACCACTATAAGTTTTTGTTTATTCATATTACAATGGAGATATCAGTGCCTACATTGTGAGGTTGTCCATATATGCAAAGCGCATAACATAGTATCTGACACAGAGTGATGAATCAATAGATCATTGTGATTATTATATTCCCTTGAGTGTTATTTGGTCAAACGTTTAAAATAATCTCCCATCTGTTATCAAGGTTCCACTACCCCTTCTGAGTGAAAGCTCAACATCTAGACAACTTCAAGATCTCACCTTCGAATGCAGCTCAGCCCTACAGTATAGGGATTCACGATTGAAACAGAGCCAGTGTATTAGTCATGTTTTCCTCTTTTTTTTTTGTATTTCATTATGCTTTGAAATATTGGGAGCCTTGGAGACCAGGGAAGAGACTGCCCTTCCCAGAGTTAGCAAATTCCTGGAGATACCAAATGTAGGAGTCAGAGATCACTCCTAACCATCCTTTTGCCCTTGGTGGGCTCCTCAGCTGGATCTAGAAACCAAATTGACCCCAGGCAGATCAACAAGAGAAAAGTACGTAGATTTTGTTAGGTGTACATGTACATGGGGGTCTTCATGAGAGAGTGAAGTCTGATGAAGTGGCCAAAGCAAGATGCTTCTGTACTTTTTGGACAAAAAGTGATAAATTGGAGAAGAAATGACAGAATAAAGAAAATCAGGCTGGGGCAGTAAATTTCTAGGGGCGTCATTAGGAGATATATGTGGGGAAAGTATACAACATATAGGGGATAAGGGTTGCTTCGTTAAGTATGTTTATTCAGGTCCTTCGTAGCTTCTAATTCCAACTCTCTGGTGATAAAAGCTATTTGTTCACCCTGGTATGGAGAGAGTACCTCTCCCAAAGGAATCTTTATCACTTTGCTCCATGCAGGAAGAGACAGGTCAGCCCACTTTTTCTGAAATTACAATTTCTCCCACGTTTTTAAAATGGGAGAGTTCCCTGGCTTCCCTCACAGGACATGCGACAGAGGTGTGGCTCGTCTGTTCAGGCCCCATGCTCAAACAGTTATGGGAGGGGGAGCAAGCAGATGGGCAGATGCAGGAGCTGAGGCAAGTGCTGTTGGGCTCTGGCCCTACAGTAGGATCTAGGAGTGGGTGCCTGCAACTCCAGAAGCCCCAGTGGGTGTGTTACAGTGCTCCTTTAGCTCTGCCATCAGCAGACAGCTTAAGTATTAGCCAGCTCAGTGCCTTCTTGGTACCCAGGTTCGTGCCCAGTGTTCAGGAAGAATCAGATCACACATAGACTTTAAGGATGGTGAATGCTGGGGTTTTATTGAGTCGTGGAAGTGGCCCTCAGCACAATGAATTGGGAGCTGGAAAGGGGATGGAGTGGGAAGGTGACCATCTCCTGGAGTTTGGCTGTCCAGCAGCCTATCTCCTCTCCGACCATCGTCAACCGATCTCCTTTCAATGTTCAGACACTCCTTCTCTTCTCTTCCCCTCTGCCATGCTGTTCTGCTGCTCTGCCACTCTTCTGTTTGTCTGTTCTTCTGTTCATGGAGCCAGGGGTTGGGGTTTATATGGGTGTAGGATGGAGGGACATGGTGGGCCAAAAGGCAACATTTGGGCACAAAAACAGGAATGGCTGTTCCCATTTAAGCCCATGGGTTTCCAGGCTTGAGAGTAAGGCCTTTACCAGGGAACCATCCTCTTCTGCCCAGTATTTCCTTGCCTCCTGTTTGTATCATTTTCAACTCAAAATAATATATTAATTAGTCATATATTGGGGTAGCACATCCTTCACTCCTTTACAACTTCCCCACTAGAATACCAGAACACCTTTCACAGGCAAACCAATTTATCCCAAGCCCATACCCCTAAACACCACCTTTGTTAACTCTCACATACCAAGTCAGTATTTCCTTCACCCTTAATCATTCCGGGGCCAGGTACTGGATGACTGTAGCTCAGAGCCCACCAAAATTATTCCAACTAAGACCCTAAGGTATTTTCCCTCCCCTGCCTTGCCCTTCCCACAGAAACCACAATAAAAGTTTGGGACCATGCTTTCCCTCCCTTCTTCTGCCTCCTGACTGACACAGGTGCTTCCCCATATGACCCTGTGTGCTGTGTCTCCTGGTTCCAGGGAATTGTTAGTAAAAAAAAAAAAAACTTCTTTCTTCATGACAGTCCTCTCCTTATCTGTTGGTCTTAGTATACATGATTAAAACAAGTACCAGGTACACTTTAATACCAGCCAGCAAGTCAAACCTGTCTCAGATTAATTTTTTTAATAAATACTCCCTTAAATTTGCACCAACCAAAGTATCGCCCTCAGAGTGCAAATGTATTCATTAATGATAAACCCTCCCCACTTCCACTCCAAATCCACTTGGTAATAGATTTGAAAATCCAGAATGGCTGGAGAATTGATTTGCCTTCCAAGGATAACTTCCAGTATTGAATATTGTCCTCATGGAAAGTTGGGCCAGATTTAGATCCCCCAAACCCTGACTCAGAATTGCAGTGATAAGCATTGACTTCAGAGAATTTTTGAAAACAAGCCACAATAAAGCAAAAAATATGTTTTACTTATTTACTAGGAAGAAACTTACTTCTTATTAATTAATTTTCTGTGTTTTAACGATGTTAAAGATTCCTTTCAGTTCTTACATTACGTAATTTTATGACTATTACCATCATTTTATTTTCTCACCACCTTTGATACAGTTTGCTGAGATACTATTAGGAGGTATGAATTGTTATTGATAACGGATGAGACTGAGCAAAATATGTGTATTGTTCAATACAAGAAATAGCCTTGTGAAGTTCAAAAACTCAGAATTTTTGTTTCTTCCTATCCCACTGACTCCCCTACAAAAAGTCTTCTTGGCCAAAATAAAAGTTCCTTGCAATCACCTAAGAAATTGCTTACTCTCCAAAGAGTCTTATCCCCCCACCCTCCATAGCCATTGAGGATGACAGAATGAAGCACAGAATTTTAGAGGCTCTGAATTCCTCACTTTCTTGATTCATTCTGGACATTGAACAGAATAACCTGCTGGGAGACCCCAATAAAAAGACTGTCTTTACAAACACTTTGCCTCTCCCTTCATTTATAATTGAGGTTGAGCTTGTCAATAAAGCTTTCCAAAGGCCATTCACCACAATACTCTTAGACAAGTATTTACATTCTTTCCTCCTCCCCTATCAAAAACAGACTGTTTTTGTTGCCTTAAAAAAAATGAATAATAGTAGCAGGCAATTGGAAGCAGACCTTAGATTTTCTATCCTGGTATGATATTAAAAGATACCCTCTCGAACAGAAATACATCATGGGCAATAAGAAGTTGTTCCACTTTTTTCTGTTACTGTAGTTCTTGTGATGTAGTCTAAAGGAATTTCAAAATGGGGTCCTGAAGTCCTTTTTCTCCTTGCTCTTCCTGCTGCGACTATTCTGCTGGGCATTCCCTGTCTTTCCTTTTTTCCCTTTATTTTTGGTAGCAAATGAAAGAAGAAATTACTGGACTTGGGTCTATTTTTTCTTCTCCAAATCCATTGGTCTTATTGAGCTTTGGTGCTTGTGTTCACATTTATAAAAATAATCCTCTGTAGAGTCCTATTAAGAAATGTAAAGTAAAACAACACTAACCAGCGTATTCCTTGTCTTCATCTGGTCAGTCATAATCACCCACTGCATGCAACATCACCAAGTGCTGAAAGTGGTTCTTTTCTCTATTTGTACTGTTTATTTTACCTCAAAATGTATGCAAATAAAGATTAATTGTACCTAGACTATGTAGATCATTTTTTAATTAATGGAGTTCACCAGGCTTACAGAATATGATGATTAAATAGGACAGCAAAATGGCTAATCCATCATAAAATGTATAAGTTCCTTACCCCCAAACTTTCAACTTAAGATGCTTTTATTCATTTGAACAATTCAGCCTTGCAGTAAAAGACAAGAACGCAACTAATATGAGCTAAAGCCCCATATTTGCATTAGCATCCGTCAAATAGAAGAAAACAACATAACCTATTCTTAATTACATTCAAGGTGTTTGTCCTATTAATCTGAAAATCAACTATGCAAAAATGAATTCTACTGGTGAAATATTACTTTCTAGTATATTAGAAAAGAAATAAAACCATCCGGGATATAAAGCAACGTGTGGTGAACCCTTCTTACAAACTCTTGCATGGTGGTTTCCTAGGAAACCAAAACTCTGCAGATGTACAAACAAAAGTGCAGAGGTGGGTATTTCACAAAACTAAATCCAGTTTTCATTCCTAATGAGACCGATTCATTTTCAGACATTTATGCAGAAAACCGTGTCCCTCTAAACTGAAATTAAAATATGATCTAAGCATGAACACTGATGATGTTTGAAGATGAACATTTATTCAGTCAAATTTGATTTTTGAAGCCATGTATTACAGGATCTCCATAGACTGGCAACTAGTGAACCACCAGGTAACCTTTTTCTTTGGTACCTCTGCAGAGGCCCTGCTGAATCATCGCCTTATAGGTTGTGTGCCAACTCTGGAACAAACACAAACGTGTATTTCCTCTCCAAATGCCCCACTTCTGCCAGGAAACTAACAGATGCACCAACAAATGTTGGAAGTCTGTCTATTAAACATGGAGCTCATTGAATTTCTATTGCATTTCTCCAGCACAAGTGCATTTGGAGCAAAGAAAGAAATTAAAATGAAGTCAGGTGTCATTCAAGAAAATTACAGTCCCACAGAGGATAGTTTTGAGTTGCAGTTTTGAGTTGCCATGCTGTGCCTTTCACAGCTGCCTACAGTTCTCGTCATTAATAATCAGTAAATAAGATCTGCAGGTGGGCCTGGAAGGCACCCCGAGCCAAGAAGACGGTAGTTAGGGCTTCTGTCTCTAAGATGGGTGGCCAGGCTCATTTGCACAACCCAGCTTATGTTTCCACACAAAAGTGCAACCCTACTTAGCATAGCTTCAGGGAAGCCGCCACAATATAGGGAATGCTAATTACTGTAACCAACTGGCAACGATGCATCCAAAATTAAATGGCCTGTGACTGAGCAGATGAACAATTTTTATGGCTCAAAGATCAGGGAACAGGGATAATTTGTTAAATTAACTGACAGGCTCTTTGGTCTAAGTAGGTGAGTTGAAGTCATTTGAAAGCTGTGTTTGCGTGCAGTTACATAGCAGAGTCTCTCCTGCGTAAGTACGGTTCCCCTGCAGTTTTATGTGGGAGTATGGCTACATTTAGTACATAAAATTCACAAAGTTATCCGGTTCAGTTCATAAATGACCAGGAGAAGCTATTCTAAATCCCTGTGGGATTGATTTTTCACATCCAAAGATTTGATCTTTTAAAATTCAGCTGAATCTAACTCCTAGAGTTGTGTAGAGAGGTTTTTAGGAAACCTACAGAACCCTGCATGAACAAAAGCTTTTAACTTCTAGTTTCCAACATTGATCACACTTAGACACCAAGCCATTTCACTAGCATATCAGAAGTTGCTGTTATTAGATGTTCATTCCCAACTGTTAATGCATATCTAAAAGTCTTCCTGAAAAACAAATAATGTAGAGATGAGAGCATGTCCTCTAACATTTCCAAAGCATTGCTTCTAGCAAACAACGCTTTTTCACCTCACAGTTTAAGCCAAAATTTCTTAGCTTCAGCACAACTGATATTTTAGACTGTGTAATTATTTGTTCCAGGGGAGTAGAGGCTGTCCTGTGCATGGTAAGATATTTAGCAGCACCCCTGACCTCTACTCACCAGACGCCAGTAGCAACTCCCACCCCTCCCAGTTGTGACAACCAAAAATATCTGCAGGCACTGCCAAATGAACCCTGACAAACAAAAGCACTCCTGATTAAGAACCACATTTCTTGAATGCCTATGATATTATACAAGACTCTGTGCAAGATGGGGGATAAGTAAGGGTTATACTGACAAATAAGTCAGGCCATGTCACAGTGTTAACCTGGAGGAGTGTGTAGTTTAATAAGGGAGACAGATATGTGAACAGAACATTTCAGCACTATATAATAAGTGCTAAAATACAGGTGTGTAGAGGGTGCTCTGGAAATATAGAGGAGTGACAACTCCTAAGGGTTCTGGTAGGATTTCCTAGAGGAGATTACTCTGAACTGGGGCTTGAAGAATGAGTTAAAGCTGGCCAAGTAAAGAAAGATGGAAAGAGCATTCCAGGTAGAAGGAACTGCATAAGCAAAGACATAGAGGTATGAAATAACAGGGTATATGCGAGGTGCTATGTCCAGTTCTAAGCAGCCCTATTGATACTACAGTTTTTAAAAGCACATCCAAAAAAAAAGGAGACAATGCTATGAGGCTGGAGCAGAAGTATATCATGATTTCTGATATTACAAGAAAGTTCTTTCCTAATCATTAATTCAACAAATATTAATTTACTGTCAACTAGGAATACAAAGATACATGATACACCTCGCCATCTAGATGCTCACCATCTGGTAAGAGATTTCAGAAGTGAAAGTATGACCCAGATATTGAACTAAGCTGCACATTAGAATATAACTCTGTGTATTACTCCAGCCTGTAGAATCTTTCCTTCATATATTGAATTTCACCATGAAACATTAGAATTAGAAGACTGCTATTACAGACTCATAGGAGAATATGAAGAAGTTGAAGACACACAGCCTATAAAAAAACCTATAATTTAGTTGGAAAGATAAAATTCATTAAAAAGATAATAAATCATACAAATAACAAAAATGCTAAAGAAGAGTTATAGACTCAAAGTAGCTGAACAGACTGAAATAATAATAGACTTTCATAGCCAGAAAAGGAGTTGAGAAGGACAAGGACTTTGTTCTGATCTTAAAATATAGGTCATGTTAAAGTAGTAGAAAAGAGGAAAACATTTTAGACCATGGAAAAAATGATAATTACAATGAAACAGATGTTAGATTGTGCCTGGCATTGCAAAGACAGTGAGAAGACATACTTGAGCAAACCAATGAGCTCCTGCAGGGAGGAAGCAGAAAGGAAGGGTTGAAAATAGACAGTGGCAAGATATGGAGAAACTTCAAGCTAGAGGATGGGGTTTGTGGATGGGGTTAAGTTAGACAATGCTGGTATTCAAATCTATCCTTGAAAGGAAAACAGAATGTTGATAAGAATTAGGGGGAAGTATGTGGAAAATAGTAAGGAGGTGGGAAAGGACAGTGTATGTCCAATATGGTTGGAAAGTTTTATTGGCTTTGCATGGTCTTACATGATGGATGTAAGACATGTCTTATTTGTCTGCACTTTTTTTTATATTTCATGATAAATATCATGATATGGCTTGGCTATGTCCCCACCCAAATCTCAACTTGAATTGTATATCCCAGAATTCTCATGTGTTGTGGGAGGGACCCAGGGAGAGGTAATTGAATCATAGGGGCCGATCTTTCCCATGCTATTCTCTTGATAGCAAGTAAGTCTCACTAGATCTGATGGGTTTATCAGGGGTTTCCACTTTTGCTTCTTCCTCATTTTCTCTTGCTGCTGCCATGAAAGAAGTGCCTTTCGCATCCCACCATGATTCTGAGGCCTCACCAGCCATGTGCAACTGTAAGTCCAATCAAACCTCCTTTCCTTCCCAGTCTCAGGTATGTCTTTATCAACTTTGTGAAAATGGACTAATACATACCATTTCTTTTTAGCATTGTAATAATGTAATGGTTACTATAAGTAATTACAGGAAAGTTTTTATCTTGTTAGAAAATAATTTCAAAGCCATCCTTTAACATGTATTATATCTCTGCAACCATAAGCCAAACCTCTAGGAGATGTCTTCTGACATTCTCCTTCACTTCTCTGACTTCAATAAAATGACACTCACTTTTCTCAGCCCTGCAGAATAGGCAGTAAATAATACCTCCCAACCACACATGCCTCTGCCCCATGCCCCTTAGGGTCTCTGTTGCCTGCAGCCAATAGACTTAGGTGCATGCTTGCCTAAAGCAGGTAATAATCTGGCCCAGCTAGTCAGCATCCTGCAAGTTAGCTCCTTCTCTCCCAGAGGCAGGTGTGGAAAACTCTTTCTGTTTTTCTTACACTTTCTTTAGAAGCATGTAATTTTTATCGTAAAAGGCATGAGATAGAACACAAACTTTGCCTTCCAATGACCCTGTGGCCCTGGCACAGAGGCCAGCATCCACATTATATAATTAAACACACATACAAGAAATGACATTTCTGTCCATGATTTTCAAATTTGAGTGTACATAAGAATCACATGAAGACCGGCAGCCTAGAAATTCTGATTCTGTAAGTGGGGGGTTGGAGACTAATAGCTCTTTTTACTCAAATGATTCTGACATAGGAACATATTTTTAGAAACAGTTTTCAGAGAAACACAAATTATTATTTTTAAAGGATATTCCAGACATCTTTCTGGAAATTAATGCTTATCTTGACTTTCTCTCTAAATAATGATTAGTCAAAAAAGAAAACTTGTTGTCGCTTTAACTTGAAGATTTTAGGTTACGAGGCAAATAGATCAGGAGTATTCAATACTTTAAAATCACTAGAGGAGTCCTTTAAAGAAATCTACTACCACAAGTGACACAGCTGAGACTCAAGTCTTCCCTGGCTTGCTCCATAACTCACATTTTACATCATTGCAAAATGTGAGTTATGGAGAAAATTTCTTGTCAAAGAATCTCCTTCCATTGAATAGAAGAGAAGCTCTCTTAAAATTCAGGCCAGGGACTGTGGCTCATGCCTGTAATCCCAGCACTTTGGGAGGCTAAGGTGGGTGGATCACTTGAGGTCTGAAGTCTGAGACCAGCCTGGTCAATGTGGTGAAACCCCGTTTCCACTAAAAGTACAAAAAAAAAAAAAAAACCAAGCTGGGTGTGGTGGCATATGCCTATAATTCCAGCTACTCTGGAGGCTGAAGCAGGAGAATTGTTTGAACCCAGGAGGTGGAGGTTGCAGTGAGCCAAGATCATGCCACTGCACTCCACCATGGGCAACAGAATGAGACTCCATCTCAAAAAAAACAAACAAAAAAGAATCCTTTGGAGTGGGTTGAATGCTGGTCTGGGATGAATTTAAGTTCTGATGATTGTCCCATAAAGCCTTCATCTTACCTGAGGCTCCTTCACTCTATGCTTTAATTCCTTCCTACAGAAACCAGGGAATCAAAAACATATAGAAAGGGGGAATGCCAGAACTAAACTAGGGAACAATGTGACGTGCTCCTACTCACACATCAGCCAAGGTAGGATAAAAGAATCTGCCCCACTTCTAGACTTGAAGGAATCAAAGAGATAGGGAAGGAGAAAGAACAACTTCATCAAAGTTAAATACTTTTCCTCTGCAAAACAGATTGTTAAGAAAATCAAAAGACAAGCCACAAACTGGAAAAAAGTAATTGCAAAACACATATCTGATAAAGGATATGTATGTATTTAGAATATATAACAAACTCTTACAACTAAAAATGAAAACGAACATGAAATTTTAAAAATGGGTAAAAGATTTGAGCAGTCACTTCATCAAAGAAGACATATGAATGGCTAATAAACATATGAAAAGATCCTTTCAGGAAATGTAAATTAATAGCATAATAGATGCCACTACACACCTATTACAATGGCTAAACTTATAAAAGCCTGACTGTACTGCTTGTTGGTGAGGATGTGGAGCAACTGGAATTCCCATACATTGTTGATGAAAATGTAAAAGATAAACCACTTTGAACAACACTTTGGCAGTTTTTAAAAACACAAACACACTAATAAACTAAAGGCTGCCAATTATAGGAGGGTTGCTGTATACATACCAATAGCATATAAAACCTAAGAAATTCAAAATGGAGCTTCCTAATCTCCTTTTGAGAGCAAGGAAGATAACCTGCTGATATTTTCCCCCTGCTACAAAAATGAATTGCAATAAACTAACTAGCGGAAACAGGCCTGCTTTCTTATGTCTATCTCAGGCCTGGCCTGCAAAGCCTGATGCTCCAGTACTTAGCCTTGCAAACCTCAACATGGCTTCTCCAGGTACTGAGCATGCCTGTCCTTAATAGCAGCATGCCAGCAGGGACTATCAGTTGCAGCTGTTTCCCAACTGTTTACAGCAGAGCTACATTGCTCTCTTTTCGTTTTGTCTGTCTGTCTGTTTGTTTGTTTTAAGATATGGGGTCTTGATCTGTCACCCAGACTGGAGTGCAGTCACACCATCATAGCTTATTGCAGCTTCAAACTCCTGGGCTCAAGCGATCCTCCCGCCTCAGCCCCTCAAAGTGCTGGCATTACAGGTGAGAGCCACTGACCTTGAGTTTAACTTTTTTAGATTCCACAGATGAGTGAGATCATTCCACAATACTGAATCTCGAGTAAACTTACAAAATTCAGTGATTGCTTATGTCTTACCCCCACACTTGTTGTCCAAGCTAGTAATCCTGAAATCTTCCCAACTCTCTTTCCCTTGCTTGCATCCCCATGACAAAGGGCACTCTTTCACCCAGCCAATTTCTCTGCACAGGCAGTCTCCTCTGTCCTGAGGGCTTTGCTGTCCTTGTTTGCTGCTGAATATTCTAACCACTATTTCCTAGAGATGGCAAAACTTACCTGATCCCTACCCTTAAAGGAGACTTCTCCACAGGATGCCCACAGCACCATGCAGACTTCATGCCTGGCCCAAAGTTAATGCTCCATGAGTAATGGCTGTTATGGCTATATTATCTTACTATATTTGATTAAGTATGAAATATATCTATAGCCACAGAGTGACTCAAGCTCTCTGAGGGCAGACGCTATGTCTCAAGTTAATATTTTCCAGGTTTCCTAATACACAGTTTCCAGGACATAGTGCATCCTTGACAAATGATTGGTGAATGAGCAGCCACTGGAACACATATCAGAAAATCCATCAATGGCATTTAACAGCTATGTAGCTTTGTTACCTCTCTGAACCTCAATTCTCTGAACTATAAAACAGAGAGAATGACTATCTATAAGGTTTGTTGCTAAGAACACATAGCACACACTGCAGAATGCCTGCGGGGCTGAACCACTATTCACATTGGGTTACCTTTTGCAGTACTGTATTAGTCCGTTTTCAGGCTGCTTATAAAGACATATCCAAAATTGGGTCATTTATAAAGAAAAATAGGTATGCCGAGCACAGTGGCTCACGCCTATAATCCCAGCACTTTGGGAAGATCACTTGAAGTCAGGAGTTCGAGACCGGCCTGGCCAACATAGTGAAACACCATCTTTACTAAAAATACAAAAATTAGCTGGGCATAGTGGCCTGTGCCTGTAATCCCAGCTACTCAGGAGGCTGAGGCAGGAGAATTGCTTGAGCCTGGGAGGTGGAGGTTGCAGTGAGCTGAAATCACACCACTGCACTCCAGCCCAGGTGACAAAGCGAGACTCTGTTTCAAACAAAAAAAAAGGAAAGAAAAAAGAAAAAGAACAAGAGGTTTCATTGACTCAGTTCCACTTGACTGAGGAGACCTCACAATCATGGAGGAAGGCAAAAGACATGTATTACATGGCAGCAGTCAAGACAGAATGAGAAACAAGTGAAAGGGGTTTCCCCTTATAAAACCATCAGATCTTGTGAGACTTATTCACTACGGCAATAACAGTACAGGGAAAACTGCCCCCGCGATTCAACTATCTCCTACCGGGTCCTCCCACAACATGTGGGAATTATTGGAGCTATAATTCAAGATGAGATTTGGGTGAGGACACATCCAAACCATATCAAGCACTGCTAGAATTTTGTGTCTGAGAAAGAAATTACAACAAAAGTCATACTCTTTTCTTTTGTTTGCACTCAGTTTTTGCAAAGTCAGAGCAATAAAGTTGAGACTATTTCTTGAAAATATATAATGTTTAACTTTATGTTTTGGTGGAGGGGTGAGGCGAGGAGAGAATGGGGACAGAAAAAAAAGTGGTTAATCAAGGCACCACTGGGTTGGTAAACACCTTCTTGCTTAGGGTGGATGGGTGGGGGAATACTAGAAGATTAATTTGGCCCAAGTCTTGCATTTATCAGGTGATCCAAGTTTTGACATTTAACATCATCTCAGAAAGAATGTAAATACTTCATTGTAGGGACATGCTGATCATTCATCCTAAACTTGTATACTACGATACCGGCTCTGAAATTTTTTAGTGTAAACCACAGTCAGAAATTTATTGTACATAACAACCAGCACAAAGCCATACTTACCATTACCACATGCAATGCACTGTGTATTTGTATTCCATTCTCTTTTCTTGAAAGTTTCTTAAAGTATAGGTTGCAATCAGGTGAAGGTGAGGGGATGGGAAAGGTGGATAGAGTCAGTATAAATTCCTAAGGTTTTGCGGGCTGGTGGGAGTGAGGAGAAAATACAAATCCCACATAAAAATTTTCAACCCATCCACCCTGGCTTGGGGGAGAGAGGTGAAGGAGTTTTTTTACACCTGAACCTGCTCTTGTTTGCTCTGCTGTTCACCCACTAATTGATTTCATGATCCACTGATGGAGATGTGACCCATGGATTGAAAAAACCCAAAAACTTCCCAAGACAGCACTTCTTGTAGTGCCCAGGACTTAATATTCTACAACAAATCCTATAATTATCTTGGACAATGTGAACTAACTTTGTTACATTATATTTTTGTGTTAAAGAAATTCATTTGTTAAATGTAAATCTTCAAAATATACTACAATACTGTAATACTGTGTTGGCATTTTCTTTCATTAAAAAAAAAAAAGTATACTGAGGAGCTTAAAAAATAAAAACCAAAAACCAAAAAAGGGGCCCTGCCTTTTGACTTCTGAAAAGTCCTTCTTATACACCTGTAGTTGATAAGGAGTTTCCCTCAATGACTTTCAACATAAAAACCAAGTCTGCTTCTGAAAGACAAACTTGCATCTCTAACATACCTTCTAGAAGAAGATAGTCTCTGAGGCCCACAGGAGTAGAGGGGCTGCAGCTGATCAGTAATAATGACCTATTTCAAGAACAAACGGGTAACCAAAGGGGGAAAGTGGGAAGACCCTGAGGCACAAAAGCCTATTTTCAGTAGGTGTGTGCCCAACCCACTCCAACAGAGAGAGCTACTGATTGCAAAGATCAGAGAGGAGAAGTGTCCTTGGTCCTAACTCTATAGAATTCTCGCACCCCAGAAACAGCATAACCTCCAGACTCTCCATTTTCCTTTGCTCTAAAGTAACGGCTGCTAAATTAAAGATGCAAGTCACCAGAAAGAGGTTTCCTTCTTTGTAAATTCATGTATTTGCATTATTCTTTATGTATCTGTGGTGGTCAGTTTGATTAAAGTGAACCTGGTAAGTATTGACTGAACTGATATATTGCAGTTTCTGGACTTTCAAAGCTGAGAGTCAAATCTGAAGCAAGCTGAGTTTACCAACATAATGCCAACTGTGAAGAATGATGGCACCATTTACAGTGTTCTTCTGATGCTTCCATCCATGTCCCAAAGCTCTTGAGTGTCCCACTGGTCCCTTGGAATTCCTCAGCCACTTATACCCTCCCTAGAACTATAAGAGGAACTTCTATATTTGGTAGCTGTTTTTATGCTATAATTAGATTTAGCAATTAGATTCAATGTTTTAGGCTTCTTTTAAGACCTGAAAAAACTTTTGGAGGTTGTTTTGCCCAATCTCCTTGACATGCAGCTGAGAGTACTGAGGCCCACAGAGGTGCGATGACTTGCCTTCTGTCATACAGGTAGGTAAGGTGTGGTACCAAGGTAACCTTCTACCTCCTGGATTCCCAGGGTAGTTAATGCTGAGACTGCTGAGAATCGAATGTGTAGTCAATACCCTTACAGTAAAATGTGTTTAGGTTGTCCTAATGTGGGGTCAGAGAGAGAAAGCATAAAGATAAGTAGGATATTCCAGTGAAAACCAGGAGAAATGGGAGGTAAAAGCCCAGTGTCAAATACATCCATGTAGAATTTGGGACAAGGACAAAGAAGTGAAATTTGGGCTGGAAATGTCTCTCAATTCTCTTTCAATCTCTCTCTTTCTCATTCTCTCTCTTTCTTTCTTGCTCTCTCCTTCCCTCCTTTCTTCTTCTCTCCCTCCTTTCTTTCTTTCCTTTCTTCTTTCCTATTGTTGTTTCTTAAACCCAGTTGTTTCTTTATAGAATAATTATGGAGATATCCATGAAGCCAGGATTAGATGCACAGATAATTAAACATACGTGTCCATTAATGCACACATGAGCACATGCATGCACACACATGCATATCCTAAGTACCAGAAACCAAGATCAAGGTACATTGTTGCAGGTCGGGTTCTCTGGGAAGCTGATTCTGAGACAGAGTTGAACATGCAGGAGGTTTGTCAGGAAGTGCCCTTGTGACCAATACCAGTGAAAGGGTAGGAGAGGGAAGTAGGGTAGGGAACAGAAAGAAGTCAAGCTGGGATGCAGACCCATCAACACTTCATCAGATCCCACAGGGAGCTCTACAGCTAAAGTCACCCATTACAGTTGTCTTGCATTGTCTCCAAATAGCCGAGCCTTTATATCCCTGCCTCCATTAGTCTCCAGGTGTGAGCCACCCCCAGAAGAATATGACCTTGATTGAGATAGTTCTCTGTAGTTGAGGCCAACCCTGAAGGGGATGAAGGTTGAAGAGTGTCTGCTGACAGTTCTCCCAACAAGTGGGGTAGCAAGATCCCCCTGAAATAAAATCTATGTGGTTTATCTGTGTTCAGCACATATTTTTCCAAGAAAGGGCTAGCCTGTACTGTATACATAGACAGAGACACATGTATGGTCTCACAGAACATGAGCACTTAGAGGGCAGGGCTGTTGTATTGGAAGGATGAGCTAGCATTTGTAGCTATTGAAAAAAGTCACCCCAAAATGTCAGTGGCTTATAACAGTAAAGATTTATTTCTAACTTATGTTTCAAGCCTGTTGCATGTGGCTTGAGTTTCTTCTCTATGCTGCCTTCACTGTAGGAGCCAGGCTTACAGAGAAGCCTCTACTGACGTACTTCCAGTACTCACAGCAAAAGAAAAAGTGGCATGAGGAAGTAGACACATACTTCTAAAGTTTGAATGTGGAAGACACCTATCGGTATTACTTCTACTCATATTTCACTGGCCAAAGAAAGCACCATGATCAAGACAACTTTAATAGGACTGTAAATATAACTGTCTTCCAGGAAGGGGAGGAGAAGCAGATTTTGGTGACCACTATTATAAATTTTTCACAGCTACATTAATCTCAAGGAACACTCTAGGGAGACCAAAAACAATTCTGCAAGTCACCATTTAAGTTCATGAAGGACAGAAATGGTATGTGTTATAACTGTTGAAAGACAGGTACGAGATTTGTGTGAGGCCGTTAAGTATAGCACTTGTTAGGTCTTTGGCTAGACCCAGCAGGTCCTCAATATATTTCCATAAAATTGAATTGAAATTTGGTTTTCATGTGGATTTTCCTTGAATTGTTCTCACTATAAAGATAACATAGGTCACATATTTAGTAAAATATAGTATAATGATGATCCTTTTAAGGTTGATTTTTTTTTTACTGTTAAAACTTTTGTGGTTATGAAAGT
Source organism: Homo sapiens (assembly GCF_000001405.40). Classification (NCBI taxonomy): domain Eukaryota; kingdom Metazoa; phylum Chordata; class Mammalia; order Primates; family Hominidae; genus Homo; species Homo sapiens. The sequence continues at coordinate 78,669,786 of NC_000013.11, read as the reverse complement.
AATTTTTAAGTTTAAGAAAATCAGAAAAGCATAAATAAAAATCATAAATAGAAAAAAGTATAAATAAGAAAAAGACATAAATAAGGAAAAAAGTGTCTTGGTTCAGCCTGCCATAACAAAATACCATAGACTGGATGGCTTAATCAACAGAAACTTATTTTCTCACAGTCCTGGAGCCTGGAAGTCTTTTCAGAGTGACAATATGCTTGGATTTTGCTGAGGGCTCTCTCCTTGGCTTGTAGACAGCCCTCTTCTGCCTTTCTCCTACATCCTGACATGGTGGGGAGTAAGAGAGCTCTGATCTCTCTTCCTCTTCTTAGAAGGCCACAGTCCTATAAGATGAGGTCCTCACCCTTATGACCTCATTTATCTTTAATTACTATCTAAATACTATCTTCAGATACTTTCACATTGGGGGTTATGATATAAGAGTTAAGGAGAAATCACTTAGGCAGATAGCAAGGATATGGGAGTCCTTTGTGAGGCTTTTCTTTTTAATGGGTATATTTAAAAGGCCTTTATGTTTTTCTCTTCATAAATCTTGTTTTTCTGGAAGAGGTTTTTTTCTGTCAACTGAATTACTTTCTCCACTGTTGCTTGCCACTCTTGGTACATGCATGAAAGGCCACAGAATGACTTCTGGTGGCCTAGGACTCCTTGGGAAAACAGAAAAGACACCACAAATCCCATTTTGGAAAAAATCTGGTTTCTTCATGGAACCCCTGGAATTAGAGGTGAAGAAGGACCTCTCAAAATCTGTCTTTGTCTTCTGGGTATGCTTGTCTGCTAGGCCCTGGAAATTGTATTCCTAGCTCTTTTCTTAAAGGGTCTCACCAGGAGGCCAATAATCCAATTGAGAAATTAGTAAATAAAAAATCTTATAAGAACTGGATCTTCTTCTGTTGGTCTGTGTGGTTATATATGTGCTATGAGTGTAATGTCTATTTAAAAAGAGCTCTAATTAATTGGGCTAAGAACGTAAGTGCTTAAATCAAATATTTTTAAGGGAAAAGTAAAAGCTGTGGTACCTTTCAGTTCACGTAACTTTAATCTTTAAAAATAAAAATAGTTTTAGAAATTATTGGTAAAATACAAATGTCTTCAAGGTGTAAAAATGTGGTCTAAATTAGGCAGGTCAGATACTACAGGTTTGCTAAATGTTTTGAGGTTGTAAACTACTTCTTTAGCCTTTAAAAACTGTCAACTTGCTTGCTTCACAATTGGTAAGGCCTGGGAACATATGGAAGCAACCATGCCCCTAACTATGCTAAAAGAAGTCAAACTTTATCCACATCTAGCACATAATTAAAACAACCTACTGGGTTTTACATTAAAGTTGAAAATTGCTAAGAGTTACCATTATGACATGTAATTGAAACTACTGAATATAAATCTACATGCGAGGTGTGTAAAAACCAGTAAAAGGTGTTTTTATTTAAAGAATATAAAAAGGCATGGAAATGTACATTTTGCCTAGAAATAAAGGATTGTCTTAAATTAAATAAAATAAAGTGAAGAGTTTAAGCAAATTGTGAAAAGATTGTAAAAATCTTGCAAAAGAAACTCTGTGTGTGAACATATTAACTAAATTCAAAAGGGTATTATATGTTTTTTTCTGTAAATTAAACACTAAAATAAAAGCACAACAAGGTTGTTGGTTTTTTTTTTTTTTCTTTCTTTCTTTCTTTGAGACAGAGTCTTGCTCTGTCACCCAGGCTGGAGTGCAATGGTGTGATGTCGGCTCACTGCAACCTCTGCCTCCTGGGTTCAAGTGATGCTCCTGACTCAGCCTCCTTAGTAGCTGGGATTACAGGCACACGCCACTACGCCTGGCTAATTTTTTGTGTTTTTAGTAGAGACAGAATGTCTCAATGTTGGTTAGGCTGGCCTCGAACTCCTGACCTCGTGATCTGGCCACCTTGGCCTCCCAAAGTGCTGGGATTACAGGCATCAGCTGCCGCACCTGGCCCAAGGTTTTCTTAAGATGACAATCTGCTCTTTAGCAAAACTTGCAGAGAGTTATAAAAGGTCTGTGAAAATCTCACTTCATAGTCAAACTGGTTAAGATTAAATAGGATTGTCTGTAAGGTTTCATTAAAAATTAGGGTTAACATTAACAGCAAACTAATGCAAAGGTGAAATTTAACTTTCTCTCTTGAACAGGATTTTCATGTAATACAAAAGACTGATGGATGGTTTTTGCTGTTTCAAATTTTTGACTCATTATTTTGGCAAAACAAATAACTTATGGTAATCTAAAATTCTATTTCATAATATCAAGTGTTTTAAATTCTAAACATGTTTAACAGGTTTCCCAAATCAAACTTTAGTCTCAAGCTTGTCTTTCCTAATCCCTTAGCTTTCGGGTGCTGCAGAGGGCCCCTGGAGCATCTGGAAGAAAAGTAAACAGAATTATTTAACATGTTTAGGTACATGGAATTGCCAAAATAATGTCTAATACTCTTCAGGTTATATTTAGGGAATAATATTAGCATGTGTTCCAAAACTGTATGGGATGTCTAATGTCTAAATATGTGCTATCAGTCACAGTTAAGGTTGTTATGTTGTGTTATTGTCAACCACAAAAATAACCAAATTTCTTTGTCAATTGTGTTTCTGACTGTATCCAAACTGGATATTTTTGTCATTTACAGACAATTGTTGTCTTGTTTTAATTCTCTTCAGAATACGGTTTATAATCAAGCTGTGAAACCTTAACAGGTGCTCTAATAATTCTAATAATAAATGCAGGTTTCTAATAACAGAAAAATGTACAGGACTCATTAAAAACCTAAAATGTTTATGAATATCAAGCAGAACAAGAGTTAACAAAATGGACTAAACTAATAGAAAACTAAGGCAATATTCTTAATTTATGCTTGGAACACTGCTAATCCTTATTTTGTTTTTCAAAGTCAAGGAAACTGTCTTAAAAGTTTTCAACAACTAAACAAGTTATACTCCCATAAACAAGATTTAAAGCATGTTTGTTTCTCTCTGCCTAGTTCCTCTAACATTTGGAAACTAATTATAAGTATTCTTAAATTACAACAATATAGTTGTTTGCATAAGTGCAACAAGAATCCATTCTCTTTTGCAACAAAACACAATGGGAAAAACTGGTTGTTTTACCAAAGCTTTGACTGGAAGGGTGTGAAGCAAGCTTGACTTGCAAAGCCAATAAAAGCCTCTTAAAAAAACTGACCTCATACTTGTCTACAGAGTCTCTGTACGGGGGGGTTCCTGACCTGTGGTAAGTAAAGAATGTCACTTTCTAATAGGCCAAAAACCCCATGCTTCTGGAACATCAGGAAGAAAATTTACCCAACTCATGTGTATTTAAAGGTACAAACCCATGTCTGGGCTTGGTTTTAAAAATCCTATCTAAGATTCCTTGTGGAACAGAGTTCCATCAAAGTCAATCAAAAAGGCCTGTATAGAGGTAATTATTCTTGCTGCACTTTATGCAAATAATCAGGCCAAGTATAAGACTAAAGTTTATTTTGCAAACAGCTCAGTCCTATCATAAGTTGTTTTTAACTTATCATAAGTTGTTTATGACTGGAGAGGGAGAAATTATTATTTTTGTTGTTGTTGTTTGTTTGTTTGAGATGGAGTCTCACTCTGTTGCCCAGGCTGGAGTGCAGTGGCACATCTCGGCTCACTGCAAGCTCCGCCTCCCGGGTTCACGCCATTCTCCTGCCTCAGCCTCCCGAGTAGCTGGGACTACATGGTGGCCCGCCACCACGCCCAGCTAATTTTTTTGTGTTTTTAGTAGAGACGGGGTTTCACTGTGTTAGCCAGGATGGTCTCTATCTCCTGACCTCGCGATCCGCCGGCCTCCGCCTCCCAAAGTGCTGGGATTACAGGCGTGAGCCACCGTGCCTGGCCATAAATTATGTTTTAAAACTTATCGGCCGGGCGCCGTGGCTCACGCCTGTAATCCCAGCACTTTGGGAGGCCGAGACGGGCGGATCACGAGGTCAGCAGATCGAGACCATCCTGGCTAACACGGTGAAACCTCGTCTCTACTAAAAATACAAAAAATTAGCCGGGTGTGGTGGCGGATGCCTGTAGTCACAGCTACTCGAGAGGCTGAGGCAGGAGAATAGCGTGAACCTGGGAGGTGGAGCTTGCAGTGAGCCGAGATCTCGCCACTGCACTCCAGCCTGGGGGACAGAGAGAGACTCCGTCGCAAACAAACAAACAAACAAACAAACAAAACATCATACATCCGTCATTAACTTCTAGTCTCATTAGTCATTTTTAAATTCTTGCCTACATTTTAAACTAACCAAGTTTATTCCTATAAGCCAACCACCAATCTTCAGCTGTGGCTCAAAGGAAACAGAAAGGGACGGGTAAAGTAAAAATCCAGAACAATGTTCTAGTTCTGGGCAATTATCCTATCCATCCTGCTGGGTAACCTATAACCCAAAGTTTCCTTTTTTTTTTTTTTTTTTTTGCGCGGGGGGTGGGGGCGGGGGTGGAAGTAAAACCAAGAAAGCTTAACAAAGACAAGCCCCATACACCCACTTACAACAGCACAACCCACAACCCATCTAAATGGCTCACAGGTAGAAAACTCTGTTGTCATGGTTATGGCCTATAGTGCCTCCACTAATAACGGTAGTCTTAATGCTCATATTTAAACCCTATATTCTAAACCTCCTTGCAAAGTTTATCTCTTCTCACCTAGAAACCATCAAGCTTTAAATGGTGCTGCAAATGAGGCCAAAAATAAAACGGCTTTTCTACCAGGGACCCTTAAATCAACCCCAGGATGAGCCCTAGCTGCTGTTCCCATACCACGCCCCTCTCCAGCAGGAAGTAGCCAGAAGTCGTCGCCCAATTCCCCGAAAGGCAGTTAGTGATTCCATTCCTGAGGCAGGAAATACTTATAGGAGACAGAAAGAAATTATTAGGTAGACAGGGTAAAGAGAGTCCCCGGCAGAAAACTATCCTTCTAACAAAAAGCAGCTAAGAAATTTTCTAACCTCATGCAGTTCAAAGAAATCACTTTTCTTCTAACAAAGAACAGCCTGAAAGAGCAGGCTGTAAAAACACAGATAAACAGGTTGGGCACAAGAGTCGGGGAGTCTCCTGGGTAATCACCAAACTTCACACTCATACAATGGGCCCCAGTAAAAACAGTGGGCCTTAATAAGCACATTCCTTTCCCTTTAGGCACACTAAGATAGGGAAGCTAAAAGCGGACTCTGGGATGAGGTGGGGGCGATACCTGCAGCTGCAAGAAGATGTCTGGGAACAGACACAGAAACCCTCACTCCTAGATAAGCAAAACAAAGCAGCACAGACGAAGAGTTTGCCTACGGCCGGCCGCCGTGGCTCACGCCTGTAATCCCAGCACTTTGGGAGGCTGAGGCAGGCAGATCACCTGAGGTCAGGAGTGCGAGACCAGCCTGGCCAACATGGTGAAACCCCGTCTCTACAAAAACACACACAAAAAAGCCGGGCATGATGGCGCGCGCCTGTAATCTCAGCTACTAGGGAGGCTGATGTGGGAGAATTGCTTGAACCCGGGAGGCGAAGGTTGCAGTGAGCCGAAATTGCGCCATTGCACTCCAGCCTGGGCGACACAGCTAGACTCCGTCTCAAAAAAAAAAAAAAAAAAAAAAGAAAAGAGTCTGCCTACATAATTAAGGAACGGAGTGAATGGGGTGAGAACTGATAGAAATCTCTGCTCTGTGCAGACAGCACACCTGGCCCCAACTAAATCTTTGGGCCTTAGGAAGATAAGTTCCCCACCCCCCCACTCCTCACTAGCCCATTTATAAAAACCCTAACCTTTTTTTACCACGACTTGGCAACCCGCTTGGGACCCTTCTCTGTGACAGAAAGCTGTTATTTCCTTTTGCCTATTGAACTCCTGCTCCAGTCTCACTGTGTGTGTGCGTGTGTTTCCGCAACCTCAATTTCCTCGGCTGTGAGATCAAGAACCTTGGTATTTACCCCGGACAACGAGTCTGCTTCACAATGACTGGTAGCATTGAGTGCATAAAAGAGGTGTTGAGCCCTATTTCCAGGAAAAGCAACTTGATAACTCCATGGTCAAGTTTAGCATGCCTTTGTGGGAGTGGTACCCTCAGAGAGAATGCAATTATTTGTAGAGCTTCAGTAAATAGAATGAAAACATTAGTTTTATTAAAAGGGGACTGACTTTGGGTTCCTATGGCGGAGCGGCACCTTGGAATTTCTGTTCACACATAAAATAAGGTAGGAAGAAAATGAATATGCTCTGATGGGCAACTTAAGAGACAAAAGCAGTCAGTATCTCAGAGCTGGGTTCCCTATTCTGCTAGTTTGCCCCACAACCTCTCTGCCTTGGTGGTTCCTGTTACAATATTCCTAGAAGTGATATTTCCTTCATTTATTCTCCAGCACTCAACAAACATTTGTGAAGCACCACTTAGCCTTAGGTAGAACTAAAATATTCTTTTGCAAATGACCTAATTTAAAACAATCACCCAATTTGCAACATTTAAAAATATTTAAAATTATAACTTGCTGTGTCACAATGGCCAGAGGCTAAACAAGAGAGAAATAAGAGCATCCAGAGAGAAATTACTATACAAATGGGCATTTCATGATTGAATAGAAGAGTTGGGCTCAGTTGTTCCATTTATAAAGTGGTTCATTAATAGTACGGTGGCCGGTACATCATTGGTAGTAAATAAAATATTTGTTGAATGAATAAATGAAGGCAAGGATCTTGTTTGTTTGATTCACATTTGTATACCTACTCTTACACCAGTGTCTGGCACATGAAAGAAGTTTAAAATATTGGTGTATTGAACAAATAAATAACTAATTTTATTTATTTATTTATTTTGCAATTACTATACTGTGATTACATACAAAGTTGATGTGCGGGTTCAGTATTAAAATCTCAACTGCTACTCAAGAGGCTAGAGTTAGTTCCAAAACAGTGCCACATAACTTTTCCCACTAAAATGTAAGCTCCATGAGATGGAGCTTTGTCTGAGTTAGTTGTGCCTTAATGCTTTTAATAAAAATACATTAAATGAATGACTGCTAACTTCTAGGAGTTTTACAGTGAAAGCAGACAACATGTGTCAATCTATTCTAAAAAATCAAAACCAAAACCGAAACCCACTGTTTAAGAGAAACCCAAGTTTTCTGCTGCACTAACAAGTATCTTTCATGCCAACATCTTGAGACACCTTAGTTCAGAATTCCCAGCCTGTGAGAGGACGGTACCATACCTGACATTCATGCTACTGGGCCAGCACCCCTGATTAATTTTTAATGTATCTTTATGAGTTTCCTCAGTGTTAACCACAATCCAGGTGGGGTGTACAAATTTAAAACAAACAAAAAAAAGTCTTTCAGGAATGAAAAATAATGTAAGCTGAAATCAATATTTATGAAGTTGTGATTAATTGACTGATGACCAAATGATTACAAAATGTCTGTCTGAAACATCTACTCAAATTTATTAGCTTTGACCAAAAAAATTAAAAAACAATCCAAACTGGGTCAATGAAAGAATAATGCATTCCTAATCAATTTTTAATAGCACTTAAGATTTTATATTTTTTTAAACTTGCTTTTAAATAATTTATCATCAAAATGAATCTGATTTAAACATGGGGTAAAAGGTGTTCCATAGCTATTTGATGGTTTTCTTAGCAAAGAAATTCAATTATGACTGACTTTTTATTACTGAGACACTTTATTAATAATAATACATCTTGCACTTACACAAAGGCATTGGGCCAACATTCTCAGAGAGTCCAGCAAATGTGATCTAGGATTTAGCCCCAATTCTACTGTTATCTGGTGATTTACCTTATGTAGGCCTTGATTTCCTCATCTGTGAAAGGAAAGGCCTGCATAACAACCCCTAAGAGCCATTTTAGCTCTAAATGTTTATAATTCTAAGGATGTAGGACAGCTTTAGCCCATTCCAGATGTCAAATGTAATAGAACTCATCAGATCACAGGGCTGCTCAAAAAGCTACCAAGATGTGGTGATCAAAATTAAGCAGCAGTGAACCACATAATTTTTGTTTTCCTATTAGGGTAATGGTAGGATCTTTTAGTGATTTGGGCCAAACGACATCTATTTAGAACATGAATTGTCAAAAAATGGGAAATGTCCTTCACAGAGCAGAGAAGAGATAATTCCTGACCTTAAGCCACTTGCATTATTAAAAGCAAAGCCTGGGAACTAGCCTGGCATTCATCTGGACTGAGGAAGAGTCCTAATCAATCTATATTGCTAACAATATTATTTGGATATGTGTGTGCATGTGTGAGGGCATATGTGTATTGATTCATAAAACATTAAGTGAATAAAGCAGGTATGTTATGCTATGACCTTGTTTGTGCTTATGTATACAGTAATAGATGAATTAGTATGTTTTAAGGATATGTTCTAGAATGTTAATAGTGATTTCTACACTGGATACAGAGGTGAGGCAGAAATATGGAGGAACTTTTACTTATTTTATATACTTTTTAATGGCTTGTTTTTCTTAAAATGAGCATGTGTTATTTTTATAATTCTCAAAAAGCAATAGAATCTTCCATTTTGAGATTAAAAACAAGTAAAGAAATTGTTTAAAATAAAACAGCCTGAGTTTATTATAAAGGTAGGCTGTAGCAAATGAGAATATTACTATTTGTGGAACAGTAACCTATTACAGACATTAGATAAATTGGATGCAATCCCTGACCTCAAGAAACATAGCCTGTTGTGGGGACAAACACATCACCAACTATAATACAATGTCATCAGCACAGAAATGGCTGTATGGACTGTGCACTGAAACACTGAGAAGCTGTGACAATGGTATGAAATGTGGAAAGAGATGTTAGAGATAGTCTAAATTTTAATACTTTACTTAAAATGCAGGATATGATTTTTAAAATTATCTTTGTGACTACATATTGACACCCATCAACAAGATGATTTACAAGGAAATGAACTTGCCCCATTAAGTAATGGGAAATGTTTTGAAAAGAAATGTCTTTACAATAGAATACTATTGAGCCATAAAAAATAATAAAATCCTGTCATTTGCAACGGCATGGTTGAACCTGGAGGACGCTGTGTTGAGTGAAACAAGCCAGACACAGAAAGACAATTACCACATGATCTCACATGTACAATCTAATAAAGTTGATCTCACAGAAGTAGAGTGCAGAATAGTGCTCACGGCTGTAATCCCAGCACTGTCGGTAGGTCAAGGAGGGGGGATCCATTGAGCCCAGGAGCTCAAGACCAGCCTGGGCAACATGGGGAAACCACTCCCCGACCCTCGAGGCAGGCGGATCACTTGAGGTCAGGAGTTGGAGACCAGCCTGACCAACAGGGTGAAACTCCGTCTTTACTAAAAATACAAAAATTAGCCAAGCATGGTGGCGCATGACTGTAATCCCAGCTACTCGGGAGGCTGGCTGAGGCAGGCGGATGGGATCGCTTGAGCCTGGGAGGTCGCTGTGTTGGCACCTAGTGGTGACAGAGCTAGACCCTATCTCAAAAAACAAAACAAAAGTTGCCAGAAGCCATGGAGCTACCGTTTAGGTAGGAAGTTGTTGGGGGCAGGGATTTCCGCTGAAGCAGCCCAGGTCCAGAACCCCTTTCTCTTAACCATGAGGCTGCTTCTTGAAGTCATACTGCGTCTTTTTCACAAAGATTAGTAAAAGTTGTCCCGATGGTCTTGTCTTTAAATCTCTCAACTCACAGATTTTACTTGTTAGCGTAATTTATCACATCAGCTCTTCCTCGCTTCAAGTAAGTTGCAGATAAATTCCAAATTTGTTATACTGCATTTAAGATAAATTTAGGAACTTTTAGGTTTTTTTCTTTTTTGTTGGTAGGAAACGCAACTTATAACCTCACAAATTCTCCCTTGGGGTTCAACAACACAGCGGTACATTTCATATGCAACCATGCACCTGAAATGAAGACGTGAAAACGTTAATCTCCTTTTGGTGGAAAACCCAGAGAAGCCCACAGTAAAAATGTATTTTCAGGGAAAGCTGCGATTAAATGTATCAGGATCGTCTCGGACACAGATAAGGAGACAATCACTGTTTTCTTAAGTGAATTATTGTGCCCTCTGGAAGCACATTATATTGAGTGGAAAGAGAACTGACAGAGGTGGAAAGCTGTTTTGAAAAAAATTGAAACGTGTAGATAATGTCTTTTCTCTATGTTTTGATTACGCTGTGTTGGCGGATGTGTGGGGTTTAATAATTAGGCGAAAAACTCTCCATCCTTCACCCCATCCAATCCCCGAAAACAATTTGGGGATTTAAAAAATCGCCTTTCCGTATCTTCCTCTTCTGTCTCCACTATTCCGCTTTCCTTTAGATTTTCCAAGATCCTCGATACTTGTAGTAAACTACCTTCCTACACATTCGCAGGAATCTTGCAGCTCCCTAATCAGTGAATTTTCTTTCTTTCTTTCTTTCTTTCTTTTTTTTTTTTTTTTTTTTAATGAAAGGAAAACGCCTTGGAGATCGCGCGTTTCGAAAGCGCGTTTTCGTTTTCTCTCCTGGGCGGGTTATGGCCCTACCGGGGCGCCGTAGCCGGCCCGCGCGTGCCCAGTCTTGGCGAAGAGTAGCGGTAGGTCGGCGGGACTTCCGTGTTGGCGGGATTCTGAACGCTGCCATGGCTCAGACCGTGCAGAATGTTACATTGTCGCTCACTCTGCCCATCACGTGCCACATTTGCTTGGGGAAGGTAATGGGTGATTGTGGGCACAGCTACAAAACGGGGTTGGATAAGTCGCTCGCCGGGGCCGAGGGCCGTCTCGTGCGGGGGCGGGGAAGGGGCGTGAGGCGCGGAGATGGGAGAAAACGCTAACCCGCGTTCTTGATGGGAGGCCGCGTCCTGGGAGATGGGGGTAGCGCACCGTGATTAATGGATTCATCTGGGCGCCTTTCGGAGGAGGGTGACAGCGGCCCGTGGTCTGCCGGGAGGGCGGCGAGACGGCCCTGCCACCGCCCGCGGCCTCACACTGGCAAGACACCGGCCTCGAAGGAGGCCCCATCAGAAACGCATCGCAGGGATATTTAACTTCCCTCTGCAGCCTCGCGTGGCGTGTAGTGAAGCCCATTAAAACACATTTCCTGGGAGCCTCACCTCGGGCTTCTTAGTCCTCTGTAACTAGTGTTCATCCTCTGGGGCCTACGGTGCTGTGTATTGAGTCTTTTCCATTTCCAAGACCTTTTGCCTTTATCCTGGCCTTGAGGATGACCTTTGCTCTGAATTCCTAATTTGAAAAGTAAATAGTAAGTGCTCCTGGAGGGTATTAGAATAAGAGGTGTGGCTTTTAACTCCAAGAATGGGTCAGTCAGGAGATAGAATACTCTCTCTTTGTGATGCAAGAGGTGCCTAGTGTGTTTGTGAAACAAGGTAGGGAAAGTGGTTCTGAATTAGAAACGGAGCTTTGAATATTCTAATGCATTCCTCTCCTCTTTCATTTCCATTTGTGCCTCACTTTCGGTGTTTTAAAGAGCATTTCTTTACCGAATAGATAAAGAAGGGGAAAGATAAACCACCAACTTTTTTCCACCCTGAATTATTTTTACGTCTGTGGTGTGTCAGGGTGTGTGTTTACCCCCCAGCGCAGACTGAGCCGTAGACTCAGATTTGAGAAATACAAACTTCTAGAGCAAGCATTTGAGTGCCGGCCAATACGATCTGCCTGGGGTGTTTGAAGTTCTGTGTGAATTTACTGGATTCAAAAAGTAGAAGAAAGTCAGCATTGGAAGCAACTGATAATTCTGGATAGCAGTCAGAATGAAATGCCAATGAAATAGCAAATGTGCTGGGAGATCATGGATTGGGGATGGCTTGATCAATTTGGAGAGATCAAGGATGGCCTCATCGAGGATGGTGTTTGAGCTGGCATTGAGCTATTACTTACTGCCTGCACGGCTAGGGGGAGGGAAGAAGCGATGTTTCTATTTGCCACAGTCTACATTTGGCTCCTGACATAAAGTTCCTGGAAATATGTGTTAAATTCTGAGTTAATTTCCTCCAACACTGGCTTTAAAGGCTGATAAAAATATTCTTGGGAAGTATTTTGTACACATTATATATAGTTTCCATTAGTTATAGGCTGTCTTTTGCAATTGTATTGACAGTGTTCTGTTTGATTTACCAAACCTATACTTTTTGTATTTAACGAGAGTGATACCTCATAGAATATAGTGATTTGCAGACTACAGAGTGCTTTTGTATGCATATATTATTTTGTTTACTCTTCACACCAATGCTTTAAGATAGGGCTGGTTTTTCCATTTTTAAAATAAGAATATTAAAGCTTAGAGTCTGTGGTTGAACCTCTATACTATCATTTGTGTCTTCAGAATACTAAGACTTTGAGTCTTCATAGTTGAACCTCTATCATTATTACCATTTGTCTTCAGATTACTTCGTAAAACCCTCACCTAAGTTCATCCATGACATCAGGCATTTTTAGTGTTTTTTTTTTCCTGTATTGGTTAACTTTATTCTGAAATAAAAATCAGATAATAAAAATAAAAAGATTAAGACTTTTGTCTTAATCTTATGTGCCAGACTTTATGCTAAACTTTGCACATGCTTCATTTAATCTTCTGAAAACAGAAAGGATGGGGAGTTGATGTTATTACCATATTTCTACTGTTACAGATAAGGAAACAGGCTCAAAAAGGTTAAGCCAGGCGCGGTGGCTCACGCCTGTAATCCCAGCACTTTGGGAGGCCGAGGCGGGCAGATCGCCTGAGGTCAGGAGTTTGAGACCAGCATGGCCAATATGGTGAAACCCCATCGCTACTAAAAATACAAAATTTGCTGGGTGTGGTGGCAGGCGCCTGTAATCCCAGTTGAGGCAGGAGAATTGCTTGAACCTGGGAGGCGGAGGTTGTAGTGAGCTGAGATCGCGCCATTGCACTCCAGCCTGGGCAACAAGAGTGAGACTTTGTCTCAAAAAAAAAAAAAAAAAAAAAATTAAAAATAAAAGAAAATTAATTAATTAAGGATTTTTAAACAGGCTCCTCCCCCCCCCCCCCCAGGTACCATGGAAGCAGAAAGGATATGTGACTGAGGGCCTGAGTTCTACATTCAGGCTAGCCGGGTTCTAATCTAATCTACCACTTACCACTCATACAACCTTTTACAAGTTACTTAACTTTTTTTCTTTTTTTTTTCTTTTTTTCTGAGACGGAGTTTCGCTCTTGTTGCCCGGGCTGGAGAGCAATGGCGCGATCTCGGCTCACCGCAACCTCCGCCTCCCGGGTTCAAGCAATTCTCCTGCCTCAGCCTCCTGAGTAGCTGGGATTACAGGCATGCGCCACCACGCCCGGCAAATTTTGTATTTTTGGTAGAGACGGGGTTTCTCCATGTTGGTCAGGCTGGTCTTGAACTCCCGAACTAGGTGATCTGCCCGCCTCGGCCTCCCAAAGTGCTGGGATTACAAGCGTGAGCCACCACTCCCAGCTTAAGTTACTTAACTCTTTTGAGCCTGTTTCCTTATCTGTAACAGTAAAAATATGGTAATAACATCAACTCCCCATCCTTTCAGTTTTCAGAAGATTAAACAAAGCATGTGCAAAGTTTAGCATAAAGTCTGGCACATAATGTTTAATAACTGTTAGCTTTTACTATAGCCATTGAGGCCAGCCCTCAAACTGAGGAAACCAGCCTTTTCCAGTAATTGTTCTTCCCAGTTGCTTTGTGAGGCTGGAGCACTTCAAAATGAAGATTTGCATTCCCAACCAAATGAGACCTGTTTGTTCTGGAAATTGCCACAGTACATCCAGAATTTTCAGCTGGTTCCATGTCTCTTTTCTTTTTTATAGTGAAAGCAAATTCAGTATGATTGTGCTGCTCACCCTCCTACACGTATTATACTGTGAGATACTAAAACTGGCGTGTCCTCAGGTTCGCTTCTGCTTCCCTGACATAGAGCATCTCTGGCCACTTCTAAGAATGTTCCTAAGGTCCTTCGTGCCTAGCTCTTTTTTAAAGATAATTGTTCTTGTGCTACTGTTACCATATGTCCCCAGATCTCACAGTCAGCATCTTCTCTTTTGATTATTCAACAGAATTAAGGACCATTATCCCTGGAGGGTCACAAGGTGGATACCATGAAGGGGGAGAGATGAGGGCAGGGCATTAAATCTGAAGAGATAGATGCCAGTGGGGATGGAGAGGAAGGAGAGAGAGCCCAGGTATTCACCTGTTAATGCTTTGTCTTTGCACTTAAAATTGGAAAATTTACACCTCTGTCTCTACTTCAGTTTTAAAGGTGAATTTTCTCTACCCAATAATGTTTTTAGTTACTTTGCCAATATTGTAAGTAAGAGCTCTATGTGGCCTGAAGAAGTTAGGTACCATCCCATGGGATGATTTACGCATAACATATTTTCTTACCTATTCTTCCCTGTTTTTTTTTTGTTTGTTTGTTTCTTAAACTAGTGGGCCAGCAAGCAGAAATGTAGTAATGATCTATCCCAGAGTATCTGTTAAGTGACATTTTGATAGTGCCACCAGGCTGTTACAAACCAGTTTACCTCTAGATAATTCCAGGGTTTATCTTTTCAATTGGGACTCAAGCTGTGAAACCAAATTATGGCATGTAATACTTTTTATTGGCCGTGCATGCATTTTGCCATGAGTGAAAGCCAAATGTGGCCCGCAGTTGGTTTTATGAAAGGGTGAAGGAGATTCTCAAGAGAAATGCAAAGCAACTAATGCTTTTCAGCATTAATGTATCATATTCAGTTATTTCTCATTCGACTATGAGTCCAGTTTTGGGTCCTACCCTTTAAGATAAACAATAAACCAGAGTATTTTGAAAACATTTGGGGGAGAATGAAATTGGGATTGGAATGTAGGTGGACTGGAATAGTGCTGGAATGAATGGATATGATAGGGAATCTTTAATTAAAATATTTTTCATTTGGAAGGGACTCAAGCCTTGTGTGGCTCCATAAAATTATGATTTCTACTTAATATTAAGGGCAAGTGTTCTGGCTGAAATAACCAGAAATGAAATCAGCTTCCTTATAATGCAGGAGTTCCTGTGTCTTGGAGTATCCTCTAGTAGACTGACTGTTTCCCATAAGGAATGCTATCAAAAGGATCCCTTCTTTCAGGGATGCCTCTCTTCTTCTCACCCATATTGTTTATTTAAAATATTGAAAATATAGGGCTAGAGACAAAGCCTTATGCAACTTAGAGTCCTCACTCTAGGATGACAAAATTCATTAATCACTGTTCACTTGGAGCTGTTGATTGATCAGCAAGTCATCCACGTCAGTACATGGAGCCCATGTTTGAGTCCTGATTGCCTCTCAGTTCCCAAGAGTGGATTTAAGAACCAGCCTTGTACATAATTGTCATAAGTAATTTGCTTTGAAAAAAAGCCATATGGACTGCAAGTTCTACATTTTTCTCTTTTTTCCAGTTGAAAATAAGTTTGAAGGATTCACTTTCAGAAAAGTATAACAATATTGCATTTTATACATAGTGTATAATAAGTTAATTCAAAAATCGTAGATGTATCCTAGTAATTATCAGGGTTGGTATGTAATAGCTGACATACTTACTTGACAAGTACAATTCCAGTTTATCCCAAAGCATTTCTGGTAGGGATGAAGGTAGAAGAGAAGAGATGTATCATCTCTCCTTTTACCTAGACAGGAATGGGGAACCAGTTCTATAGGCATTAAGTGACTTATTTCACACAGGTTTTTTTTTTTTTTTTTTCCTTAAGTTATAGGACCTAAATTCTGGCCCAGAACCAGGGATTTCTTAAAACATAACCAAGAGCTATCCAGGAATTTTATTTTGGAAAGTTTCCAAATTCCTAATGTTGAAGTAGTGGTGCCCCTACCATAGTCATTTTTACACTGAAGACTAATCCTTTACATAGTCTTTCCAGGTCTTCACTAGAGAAACCGATAAAGTTTTGACAAGGTGCAAGAAAGAATAATATTCTTTCTAGAAGCACAGTTGGCTCTTGTCTCTAGTGAGGGGAGGATGCCAGAAGAGCAGGGGAGTTGGTTTTATAATAGATATAATTGCAAGACCAGTTGGTAAAGTTCATCAATACCGTCTTCACTCCCATCACCTCCATCAGTGTCCAGGATCTCACTTCCTTCAGGCACATCGTCCTGTATTTATTTCTCCCAGATTATTGTTCACTAACCCTGCTCCAAGGAAGAAAGAACTGTTTCTTAGTTGAAAGAACACATGATTTTGCAGTTGAATCACATTGAGTACAAATGCTAGCTCTACCATTTATAACCTGTATCATTATTTCTTAGAGTCTCAGTTTCCACAACTGAAAATGGATTTGATACAACAGCCCCACTAGCTTATTAGTAAGATTCCTTTGACTATACCATACTAGTGGTTCTCAACTAGGTGGAGGTAGATTTTGTCCCCCAGGGACATGGGGCAGTGTGTGGAGACATTTCTCATTGTTTTCAAGGGGCTGCTACTGGCATCTAGTGGGTAGAGCCCAGGGATGCTGCTAGCCAGACATCCTGTAATATGCAGGGAACCGCCTAAAACAAGACTTTCTTCAGTCCAAAATGTTAGTAATGTCAAAGTTGAGAAACGCTGTTTGAAGCCAATGTGTAACTCCTAGTGGGTAAGTCTAGGATGATATGGATATTAATGAACAACAGCCTTAGGCATGTCTCTGCCCAAGTATACTTGCTTTTTTAAGAAAGGGGATTTGGTGGTAGAGTGGACTCTCTTAAGACTGGAACATCTTTAAAAGAAATGAAATATCAGAGTAACAGATTGTAAGGTTAATATATCTGCCCCAAGAACTGCCCCCTCAGGCCCATTCCAGTAAGAAGAGCCCATCCTTTACACCTGGGGGATATACCCTAGGGCAGGAGTCTCCAGTCTCAGTCAGGTACTGTTCAGTCAGTGGCCTATCAGGAACCAGGACTGCACAGCAGAAGGCGAGCAGGGAGTGAGATAGTATTACCACCTGAGCTCTGCCTCCTGTCAGATCAGAGGCAGCATTAGATTTTCATAGGAGCATGAACCCAAATGTGAACTGTGCATGCAAGGGATCTAGATTGTGTGCTCCTTAGGAGAGTCTAATGCCTGATGTTCTGAGGTGAAACCCCCCAGTCTGTGGAAAAATTATCTTCCACGAAACCAGTCCCTAGTGCCAAAAAGGTTGGGGACCGCTCCCTAGGATACCACTTTACTATGCTTACTCCAGATGAGTTTGGAATTGTATGTCACTTACCATTGCCATTTTTTTGTCTTGCATTTTTATTTCATGAGTACTGTTTTATTGCCACGGGTCTCATTTGAGAGTAAATTGGATAGAAAGTCTAATAATGTGACAAATGATGACCTTTTTTTTTTTGTCTTGGGAAGATCTTATTAAAGAAAATTATGTGTGTGTTTTGTTCTACCCAGAGCAGGATCTGGGTAGAAGAGGATGGGTGCTAGATTCTTTGTGTTTTGCTACCACAGATTACAGTCAAATATATAACAAGTAACTTGTTTTAGTAGTTCTTTAGAAATTTCTATTCTCGTAAGATAAATTCATTGAGTTGTCTAGAAATCATCATCTGATAAATACTCATTCCAATATTCATTTCCAAAGAAATGAATTAGTCACCTGTTTCCGAAATCTTCCCAACACAAAGGTGGTGATAATACCAGGTATCCAAAGGTGCAGAAAACTTTCCTGTGGGTGACATTGTTAATGACTCTTAGCAGACAGAGCCAAGCAGTCGGCCTGTGGTGGTGGTTCTGTATCATTTTGTCATATTAAATGGGGAGGTTAAACTTTTGCTTTTTTACAGTTTGACAGTGGCTGTTGACCTTTTGCTGCTTGAAGCACTTTTAGGATTGTTATCTCAGCCTTTCATTATAGTACATCAAAATTCACTTTTATTAATCTTGCAGTTGTTAGAGATGAGAAGGACACTCACCCTATTGTCAGTGAGCCTGAAATCTAATAAGGAAGACAGGATGTAAGCAGTTTCTAAGTACAGCACAATGCAGAAAGAGGTGAACATTAAATAAATGAACAGAGAGTGCCCTATCAAAGACTTGGTTAATTCTGAAAAAGATTAATGAAGGGCTTGCAGAGGAGGTGGCATTTTATTTGCATCTTAAAAGGAGGGAAGGAATTTTTTTTTTATTACTGTCAGGAGGATGGAGAGACCAGGAGGATATATCAAGCTGAGAAATGGAAGCTCTATAAATAGGGAGCCCCATAAACAGGGAGCCCCCAGTGTTCATATTCTTATTGGTGAACATAAGTAGACCTGTGAGGTTGAAGTGTGCATTGTGTCAAATATTGAAATGGTAGGTCAAGGGAAATGGCTGTTTAAGAATTAGATTATGTTCTTTGAAGGCTATACCTCGAACTATGAGCAGGAAAAAAATCATTACTGTTTTGTAGGAGAGGAGTGAAAGCTGCTTATTCATATTTTAGGAAGGTAGCTCTGGCATCATTGTGAAAGATGTACTGAAATGAACATTTGGAAGCTTGGGAGGTGGTCATTGCAGTAGATCAAAGACAAAAGAATGAGAACCTTAAATTCATTGGGGTGAAGATGCAAAGGAAAGGATAGATGAGAGGTGAAAGAATGTTTGGAGGTAGATTTGTCATGTTTTGACTATTCTGAGATGTACATTTTTTTTCAAATTATAACATCTCTGGAATCTGATTGTATCTTAACAATTGTAATTGACAGTTTTTCATTCTTAGTGATACATAAAATATTGGTGAATCTTCAAATCTGTGGCTTCTTAGACTTAATGTATAATACCAGCGTCTGGTGACAGTTTGGATGGTGAGGATAAGTAAAAAGAGTGATTCAGAGATAGCTCTGTTGTAGCTCAAGTGGAGAAGTAGTGATCTCATTAACTTAGGTGGGAGGGTGTGCAGGAAGAGGAGCAAGTGTGTAGTGGAGGCCAAATTATGGTTGAGGCAGCTGCAGGATCCTTATATGTAGTCGGCTCCTAGGCACTTGGATATAGTAATATTACCTTTTTTTTTTTTTTTGAGGGATTGCTATGTAGAAGTGTCTGTGCTGACATCCATTATATTATCTTAAACCTGAATGAAAAGGTTACTAGGTTAAGCCACAGTTTTCAGAGGCAGAAACTGATGCCCACAGTAGCTAAAGGGCTTACCCAAGGTCAGACTGCTCAATAAATGGCAGAACTGGAGTTGGCCCCAGGTTTGTCTGTCAGAGCCTAAGCTCTGCCACTTACTGACTCCAGTTACAGAGGGAGACTTGGGAGTTGTCAGCATAGAATAGATGTTAATGCCATGTGACACATGAGATTGAGAGAGAAAATAGAACACATCAGATAAGATGGCCCAGAACAAAACATTAGAGAAGGCAGTTATACCACCTTTAGTATCTTGACTATAAGCATCCCACTCTCTGATCCTGTTTCTATCATACTTATTCTCTACCATTACTTCAACCTCATGGAGACATTTTTGTTGACCCTATCACTTTTTCACTGTTATCATTACCGCTTGTGTACTTGTTTCCCTTATTATTCGTGGTCATTTGTTATCATCAGTCCCTGTCTCTTCCTCCTTGGCAAAACCCCAACTCTGGGTAAACCAAACTACTCATCTACTTCCTTCCTGAGTCTCCACAGCTAAATATTGATAAGAAAAATACACACCTACGTTAATTAATCTTACTTTGCATTAGAAACCACAGACCTGGAAAAGGAACTCAACAATGTATAGCAATCTGCTACCTATCCCTAGTAAATTAGCTTTCTCACTTTTCAAAATTACTGCTTTATTCTCCTGTCTTCTCAAATCTGTAACCCACTTCCCTTCTCGTTTTCAGCTGATAACTTCACCTCATATTTGATGACAAAAGATAAGCAGCTGAGATAGTGGGAACATGAATTTCCTCATTTTTCCATCCACAGATCTTCCAACCCCTTTGTGTTTGTTCACACACCCCCTATTTTCCCTTCTGTTGCAAAAGAAGACAAACCCTCACTCCTGTATGTGCCAAAATCTCCTTTTGTGCTTTGGATCCCTTTCCCCTCTTGACTTCTTAGGGACTTTGTTGCCTATCGCTGTAATACCCCCATCACTCTTCATCCATCACTAATATCCTCTCTTTATCATTCCCATTGGTATTCCTAACCGTCGTCTCATTTTTATGCTCTCTCCTTTACAGCAAAACATGAAAGAATTGTCTGTATTTTCTGTCTTCACTTCTTCATCTTTCATTGTCTCTCAACCTCCAGTCAGGTTTCCATCCCCAACATTCGCTGAAACAGTGCTTGTCGGTAACTGATCAGAGTGACTTCCAAGCAGTTAAATCCCATAGTCACATCTCAGTGCACATCAAACTCAATCTCACATCAATATTTTACTTATCTGGCCGCTGCCTCTCTCTTGAAAAACTTTCTTGCCTTGACTTCTGTGATATCATATTCTCCTTTCCTACATCACAGGACCCCTCCTTGTCAGTTTCCTCTGCTGGTTGCTCTTCCTCTTCCTTTGCTTGCTGGAGTGCCTTCTTTTCTCCAGCTGTTTTGTCCATTCATGAGATCTCCTCCAGTCCTATGGCCTTATATGCTCATGTCTTTTATGGCAGTGACTCAAAACCTGCCTTGTTGAACTTGTCCACTTAAAAATGGGCTTAGCATCACAAATTTAGCATGGCTAAAACAGAATTCTTGATTTTTACCTTGTGCGAAATCTGCTTTTCTTGTCTTTGCCACTTCAGTATATGATAACACCAACTACTGAGTTGCTCAAAACCATTTCATAGATTGGGGAGATAATATTTAACCTTTGTTGTGGGAGCAAATACATGAAAAATACTGATTCTTTTTTTTTTTTTTTGAGATGGCATTTTGCTCTTGTTGCCCAGGCTGGAGTGCAATGGTGCGATCTCAGCTCGCCGCAACCTCTGCCTCCCGGGTTCAAGTGATTCTCCTGCCTCAGCCTCCCAAGTAGCTGGGATTACAGGCACACGCCACTAAGACCTGCTAATTTTGTATTTTTAGTAGAGATGGGGTTTCTCCATGTTGGCCAGGCTGGTCTCAAACTCCTGACCTCAGGTGATCAGCCCGCCTCGGCCTCCCAAAGTGCTGGAATTACAGGAGTGAGCCACCGTGCCCGACCTACTGATTGCTTTTAAATGTGTTTTTTTTATGGAAAGATTGGCAGAGCATCTTGAATCCTCTCATATAATGTGCACGCTTTGCTTTTAAATGTGTTTTTTTTTATGGAAAGATTGGCAGAGCATCTTGAATCCTCTCATATAATGTGCACACTTTTATGTCTTGAGCATTGGCTTTTATCCATTTTCAGATGAGTTTATAACTTATAAAAAATAACTTACTATAAAAGTAGATAACAGTAGATAACTTCCTTTTTTACCTGAGCTTCCTAATTTTGGGGCATATAGTACTTCTAGGAATATTGCAGGGGTGTGTGTGTCTGTGTGTGTGTGTGTGTGTGTGTGTGTGTGTGTTTGGGGGAAGTTACAGGATAGATAAGGCAGTATCTTCTTGGTTTGGGATTTTTGTGCTCTTAAAAGATTTCATGACATAAAGATGAAATTAAAACATATATGAATATATTATGGTCTGGACTTGCAAATCACATGAATTTTTAAGAAAAAAAATAGAACCTGCAAAGAAAGTTCAGGTTTGTCTGCCATTTGAGACTCTGACCAGGAATACTTTATAGATAAGCGTTCACTCCTGGCTGCTGGTAGGACCACTTTGGAAGAAGACTTTGAAACACTATGGTTCATTATTTTTTTTTTTAATGAATCTGTCAAACCAGTTGAAATGAATGCTTAGAATTAAGTTTCTCCAAGAAGTTTAAATCTATTCCAGATTATCTTTGTTTAGTTTTCTTGGGTTAGTGTTCATAATCAAGGGAGAACCAGAATGTTCAGAAAGCCAGACTGAGACCAGAGCTCTTTGTAACGAGACTCAAATGATTACCTGCCCATCATTGAAGGGGGCCAGCCCCTCCACACCTGTGGGTATTTCTCATCAGGTAGGACGAGAGACTGAGAAAAGAAATAAGACACAGAGACAAAGTATAAAGAACAGTGGGCCCAGGAGACTGGTGCTCAGCATATGGAGGACCTGCACCGGCACTGGTCTCTGAGTTCCCTCAGTATTTATTGATTACTGTTTTACTATCTCAGCAAGAGGAATGTAGTAGGAGAGCAGGGTGATAGTGGGGAGAAGGTCAGCAAGAAAACATGTGAGCAAAGGAATCTGTGTCACAAATAAGTTCAAGGGAAGGTACTGTGCCCGGATGTGCACGTAGGCCAGATTTATGCTTCTCTCCACCCAAACATCTCATTGGGGTAAAGAGTAACAGAGCAGCATTGCTGCCAACATGTCTCGCCTCCCGCCACAGGGCGGTTTTTCTCCTATTTCAGAACTGAACAAATGTACAGTAGGGTTTTATACCAAGACATTCCATTCCCGGGGCAGGCAGGAGACAGGCCTTCCTCTTATCTCAACTGCAAGGGGCCTTCCCCTTTTACTAATCCTCCTCAGCACAGACCGTTCACGGGTGTCAGGCTGGGGGACGGTCAGATCTTTTCCATCTCATGAGGCCATATCTCAGGCTATCACATAGGGAGAAACCTTGGACAATACCCGGCTTTCCTGTGCAGAGGTCCCTGCGGCTTTCCGCCGTGCATTGTGCCCCTGGTTACTCCAGAATGGAGAATAGTGATGACTTTTATCAAGCATACTGCCTGTAAACATTTTATTAACAAGGCACATCCTGCACAGCCCTAGATCCCTTAAATCTTGATTCCATGCAACACATGTTTCTGTGAGCACAGGATTGGGGCAAAGTTACAGATTAACAGCTCAGGGCAAAGCAATTGTTCAGGGTACAGGTCAAAATGGAGTTTCTTATGTCTTCCTTTTCTACATAGACACAGTAACAGTCTGATCTCTCTTTCTTTTCCCTACAGTCATGAATAGCTATGCATCTATTAATTCTTTGAGAGGTGGGGGCCCCTTTTAAATTAATGAATACTCAGTAGATTCTTTTAAGGCAGACATAGAGTAGCACAAGCATTTTCTCCGAGAAAAGTGGTTTGTGGTGGTTCTGCCTCTTCATTCTCCCTCTACTTACTCTGCTTTCCCTTGACCTAGTCTTCCAGTTCCTAGTGCAGAAGGGTTCTATACTGTAATTACTATTAGGGAAATATTGAAAATGGCTATGAAATGTTTTGAGTCCCACCGTGAAGAGACCATGTAAATCAAGTGATAAGACTACATTTTTCTGTGCTGTTTTTGTTTGTATTTTTAAATTTGTGCTATTTCAAAAAATATTAAATCATTATTTCCTTCTGACAACTTTCCCAACTAGTTGAATGTTAACACTATCTTAATAGCAGTTAATCATTCAACAGACCTTTGTTGAGTACCTGCTAAGTACCAAGCTATCTTCTAGGCACTAAAGGTTTAGTTATGAATGAGAGTAAAGAAGTTCTTGCTCTCATGGAGTTTCCATTCTGATAAGGGAGATAGACAATAAATATGTAAACACGAGTATAATATCAGGTAATATAAATGCTGTGGAGAAAACCAAAGCAGCTTCTCTTTTCTTTCTTCCTCCTGATAAAACAACTACAAACAGTCAACACACCCAGTTAACCCTGAGCAAGCTACCTAATTTCTTCATGCCTTTGTTTTCTTATTTGTAAAGCATATTTACCCAGTTTACCTCACCAAGTTGTGGTATTTTTAAAAAAAGAGATGGAAAAGGGTTGGGGCGGTGAAAGATGCATGTGAAAGCCGTTTGTAAAATATGACTACAGGCCAGGCGCGGTGGCTCACGCCTGTAATCCCAGCACTTTGGGAGGCCGAGGTGGGCAGATCACCTGAGGTCAAGAGTTTGAGACCAGCCTGACCAATGTGGTGAAACCCCGTCTCTCCTAAAAATAGAAAAATGAGCTGGCGTGGTGGCAGGCGCCTGTAGTCCCAGCTACTCGGGAGGCTGAGACAGGAGAATTGCTTGAACCCAGGAGGCAGAGGTTGCAGTGAGCCTAGATGGTGCCACTGTACTCCAGCCTGGGTAACAGAGCGAGACTCCGTCTCAAAAAAAAATGCTATAAATGTAAGGTATTATTATTTGTGCTTGTTTAAATGGAGCCTGGAGTCAAAGATTTGTGTATTTGGTGTATCTCAGTAATTCTGTCTGCATTGTTTGCTGTTTAGATTATAAACTACTTGAGAGTGAAGCTCATGCCTTTTGGGTTGTTTTAGCTTTCATTACTGTTTGGTTTTGGGGAATTTCTAGTAAAGTATCAATACAATATTTAATAGTTGCTGTTATTCTGTAACAGTGGAATGAATTGAGAAAAGGATTCGGGCATCAGATGGATGATTGTGCTAAATGATATTTTCAAAAACCTAATCCTGCTGTTCTATAATGCTAAAATAGAAGAGTTTGAGCAAAATTGTCCCAGCCTTAGTGGAACAAAAAGCATTTTCTTTTTGGCATGAATTCTGTGGTTTAGGTACAAAATAAAGCATTTTATATGTCAAAAGCTTCAGTCTCCATGATCCAGTATCTCATCTAGTATCTCTGTTAAACATGTGTAAAAAGAAAAGTGACCAACAGAAGCAGTGTTTTTAAAAGCGCTAGATATCCCTTCTTAAACTCCTACTCTGCTATAATCTAGAGAAGCAGTTTGCTGTAAACTAAACCATTTGATCTTCTAATTATGACCGTTGTCCTGTACTAAAAGTGATTTCTTTTTTCAAAGGTACGTCAGCCTGTCATATGCATCAACAACCATGTATTTTGTTCGATTTGTATTGATTTGTGGTTGAAGAATAATAGCCAGTGTCCAGCTTGCAGAGTCCCCATCACTCCTGAAAATCCTTGCAAAGAAATTATAGGTAAGGGCCTGTTTTATATATGCATAGGAATAGGTTTGAAACAATCTCCAAATAATTTATATTTCGAGGAAGACTGAAATAGGCTATTTTCAGTGATGCTATTTGGCCAACATAATACTGAGTGGTTGAGTAATTTGTGTAATGTATATGTGGAGCAACTGGGGCACAAGGCACTGAGAGGTGCTAAGAGGAATAACCCTGAGAGCCTCACGGAACTTACATTTTCATAGCAACTGAACCAAAAGAAAAGCAGCAAGTGCTAAGGGCCCCAAAAAAGCCCAGAGAGTTCAGGCAAGAAACTTCAGCTAAGAACACCGAGAAGGGCTTCATAAAGTAGGTGGCCTTTAAGCTGGACATTTAAATTTAAGGATGGATAACATTTCAACGGTGAAAATTAAGGAGGGCATTTCCTGCAGGGAGAATAGCATGAACTAAAAAGTTTAGATACAGGAAAACCCAGAGCATGTTTTTAGAAATGATCAGTAGTCTACTTTGGGTCCGACTACTGAGATAAGACAAAAGGTAAATTGAGACTTTAGTGCAGAGAACCTTGAATGACAGCTAAATCAGGGACTTGCTCTAGGACTAAGAAGAAGGGTGAATTGGGCATGATGGTTTTGAGCAAGGGAGTGGTATGATCCAAAATGTGCTTTACAAATATTACTTGTGGTAATACATAGGTTGGACTATAGGAGTAGACAGGATGTGAGTAGGTCTGGTAGGAGGCTTTTGCCTAGGTGATAGAAAATGTAAGTTTGGATTAAGGGTGAAAACAAATTCTATGTCACATTAATATTGGTGGGGTGGGGGAGGAGTAAAGCTTGAACTAGAGGATCCTTGAAAAGGAGAACTTCTAAAGAGCCTTTTTAGAGTTTGGTTTTTATTCTACTCATATAAGTTATTTATTTTAGGTTGCAAAAATTAAAATGATTTCTACTTGTTTTTGCTATAGGAAAAATTGAAAGTGAATCTACAATTAGCCAAGTATAGAAAACATTTTTCAGAAAACTTAAGAAGTCATTGTAATAGTCCCAAGTTAGGGAAAATGGACTTAAATAAGATTTTTTTTTTTTGAGACAGAGTTTCGCTCTTGTTACCCAGGCTGGAGTGCAGTGGCGCGTTCTCGGCTCACCGCAACCTCTGCCTCCTGGGTTCAAGCGATTCTCCTCCCTCAGCCTCCTAAGTAGCTGGGATTATATGCATGCATCACCACGCCCGGCTAATTTTGTATTTTTATTAGAGACGGGGTTTCTCCATGTTGGTCAGGCTGGTCTCGAACTCCCGACCTCAGGTGATCTGCCCGCCTTGGCCTCCCAAAGTGCTGGGAATTACAGGCGTGAGCCACCGTGCCCAGCCAAGATTTTTACAAAGGAAATAGAAAGGAATATATATGCTACAGAGCAAAAGAAGAACTAGTAGGACTTAGGAAATAAGAGATCTGAAGGCGCAATCAGAGTTGGCTCTTGGTACCTGGGTGAAGTCTGGTAGAGGACTGGTTCTCTGCTGTGTTGCATGCTACGGGGTTAACCTCTATCTGTTTTTTTTTACCTGCTGAATTTCACCAAGGAGTCAAGTCTTTTCTTGCAGAATATGAGCTTTGATGATTTGAATATTTTCCCCCAGCTTTTCTTCTCATCCCATATCCTACCTTTATTCATTCATACCTAAGTGATATTTCATAAATTCTCTCAAGGAAAATAGTTCATCCATTTTTGCATTTGGATAGAACATCCTGAAAAAGAACACCTGTAAAATACCTTTGCTATTATTATAATGCTAAAAAATACAAAGAAGGTAACCAGAGCATCAGTGAAGAGCTCTCAGGAAGAATTCATTGTGAGTGCATTTGTAACAAGTCATGACATAGAGTTAATGCCATGACTTACAGTCCATTGTAACTAGCCTGTTAGAATCCGTGAAAAGACACATTAATCTATATACATAGGTATATAGCAGTAATACTTTTTTTTTTTTTGAGACGGAGTCTCGCTTTGTCGCCCAGGCTGGAGTGCAGTGGCGCAATCTCGGCTCACTGCAAGCTCCGCCTCCCGGGTTCATGCCATTCTCCTGCCTTAGCCTCCTGAGTAGCTGGGACTACAGGCGCCAGCCACCACGCCCGGCTAATTTTGTTTGTTTGCATTTTTAGTAGAGACAGGGTTTCACTGTAGCCAGGATGGTCTCTATCTCCTGGCCTCGTGATCCGCCCGCCTCGGCCTCCCAAAGTGCTGGGATTACAGGCGTGAGCCACTGCACCCAGCCAGTAATACATTTTTATATAATCTCTTGGTTAAATGTAAATGTAATAATTGGTTTTATTATTTAAATATAGTCTAGTTTTCAGAATTTGAAGTAGTCCAAATGTGATAATTACAGCCCTTTCCTCCACTGAGTTTGCTGTGATAAGATATGTAGATATGTAAATACAATATGATGTGTTACTGAAGGTATTTCTTATGGTGTTATTTGATATATTTTTTTTTCCTCAAGATTAGGGTAGAGAAAAGGCCTAGATGTAAGCCCCAAGTGTGTATGTAAGGGGAAGGGTAGATGTGAAGCTGGGAAGCTATATAAAACAATATGAAAAAGGATCATTTTCATTCTTCCCGAATCAGAATGAAAAATTAGGATTTTTTTTTTTTTCCCTACAGGAGGAACAAGTGAAAGTGAACCTATGCTAAGCCATACGGTCAGGAAGCATCTTCGGAAAACTAGACTTGAATTACTACACAAAGAATATGAGGTAAACAGTAATCAAAGTTTAAAATTATGTTAGCAGTGAATTCAAGGTAAAAACTGACCTACCTCAGTCCCCAGACTTCTTAGAGTAAATATCCAATGAAATTTTATTTTAAAAGCCTATAAAAAGAAATTGTTTGATAAATTCTTTTTTCTTTTTTCCTTTCGTATTTTAAATAGAGGAAAGAGATTTTTTGTTTTATTTTTTTTCTTTAAGTACCAAGGAATGGGGGAATGGGATTCCAGAAAAAAGGAACAGATGGAAGCATTTCTTTCTTTTTTTTTTTTTTTTAAGTTAAAATTTGTACCTCCACAGACATATCATTTTGTATTTGCTTCCTCAAGAAGTTGGGAGAAAAAGGAAATCTCCTTGTGAAAGCCAGTCTGACCTCTGCAGTCATCAGTTGCTTCTGCCTATGAAGTTACTGATGATTATAAGCCTGATCAATTCTAGTAAAGTAAATACTATACCTTATGTCAACTGCCAGCACAGAGATTTTAGTGTGAAACATGCTGTTTCCTAATTATTGTCTAAAGGTGAATGAACAGGATGATTGGACATGGTGATGCTATTTTTACAAATAAATTCATGCTAATAGAATACATACACTTTTGAATAGTACACATTAAGCCCAGTTGTCATTTTATGTTGACTGAAGAAGGAGATATCGATCCCCTCTTGACTCAAAATATCTTTCAGTTTAACTGTGTACATGGAAGGTGCCTCAACTGCCTCAAAAATTTTTGGAATGCAGTGGGGTATAAATACATGATTGAATATATGTTTATTCATATATGTGTTCCTTACATATATGAATTTGCTTGTTTTATGAAAATGCTATTTAAGTTGAAATGTATTGCAATTTAAAATAGTAAGTAGTACTATCTGTGTGACATTTAATGCTAAAATGTATTTTTATATAATGAATATTTATCATACTCAGATGGTAAACAAATTAATCCTTTGGGAGATCACTTGAGCTACTTGGGGGTTTATTTTCTAGCAGAATTTTTAACAACCTCAATTTAAGGTGACATATTTATTATAGATGAATAAATGGCATCATAGTAAGAAGTTCTAACCCAAATGTTTAGTGACTGGTTTTAGGATAATAAACATTTCCAGAGTGGGAAGGCTAATACTTGCAATAGTCACAGTAGTAATTGAAGAACCAGAATCCAGAAAAGTTGAAAATTCAAAATTAACTACAGATATTATTCTGGAATGAAAAGTAGAAGGAAATGGTAGATGGTTTCACTCATACTTCAAATATAGAAGTGAAAGTATAAATATCAAAACCCTAACAATCCTCTTTTTCTTTTTTGAGACAGAATCTCATTCTGTCACCCAGGCTGGAGTGCAGATGGCATGATCTCGGCTCACTGCAACCTCCGCCTCCTGGGTTCAAGCAATTCTCCTGCCTCAGCCTCTCAAGTAGCTGGGACTGCCGGTGCCTGCCACCACACTCAGCTAATTTTTTGTATTTTTAGTAGAGGCGAGGTTTCATCATGTTGGCCAGGCTAGTCTTGAACTCCTGACCTCAGCTGGCCCACCTGCCTTGGCCTCCCGAAGTGCTGGGATTACAGGCACGATCATCTTGATAACTCTGTACAGTCAGCCCACCATATCCAAGGATTCATCATCTGTGGATTCAAACAACCAAGATTGAAAATTAAAAAAATAAATATATATAAAAATAATGTAGTTTAATAACTATTTGTATGACATTTACTTTGTATTGGTTATTATAAATAATCTAGAGATGACTTAAAATGTATGGAAAGATGTATGTAGGTTATATGCAAATACAGCACTAGTGATTTTCCATCAGGAACTTGAACATCCATGGATTTTGGTATCCCTAAGGGTCCTAGAACCAATCCCCTGTAGATGTGGGGATGAGGTGGGGACAAACTGTACCTTTTTTTTTTTTAACCCGGCCCCCCTCAATGTACTTTCAAATTCCCCTCAGTAAAGCAGTTGAGTATGCCTCAAGTTTTTTGTTTTTTTGTTCTTTTTTGAAATGGAATCTACTTCCCTGTTGGAATTCATGTGACTTTTCTTATTTTCTGGATGATATCTTTTTTTTGTTTGTTTGTTTTGTTTTGTTTTTGTTTTTGTTTTTGTTTTTAATTATACTTTAAGTTTTAGGGTACATGTGCACATTGTGCAGGTTAGTTACCTATGTATACATGTGCCATGCTGGTGCGCTGCACCCACTAACTCGTCATCTAGCATTAGGTATATCTCCCAGTGCTATCCCTCCCCCCTCCCCCCACCCCACAACAGTCCCCAGAGTGTGATATTCCCCTTCCTGTGTCCATGTGATCTCATTGTTCAATTCCCACCTATGAATGAGAATATGCGGTGTTTGGTTTTTTGTTCTTGCGATAGTTTACTGAGAATGTTGATTTCCAATTTCATCCATGTCCCTACAAAGGACATGAACTCATCATTTTTTATGGCTGCATAGTATTCCATGGTGTATATGTGCCACATTTTCTTAATCCAGTCTATCATTGTTGGACATTTGGGTTGGTTCCAAGTCTTTGCTATTGTGAATAATGCCGCAATAAACATACGTGTGCATGTGTCTTTATAGCAGCATGATTTATAGTCCTTTGGGTATATACCCAGTAATGGGATGGCTGGGTCAAATGGTATTCCTAGTTCTAGATCCCTGAGGAATCGCCACACTGACTTCCACGATGGTTGAACTAGTTTACAGTCCCACCAACAGTGTAAAAGTGTTCCTATTTCTCCACCTGGATGATATCTTAAATAGAATCAAAGATTTGGCATTTTTAAAAATCACAACTAACATTGAATTAAAATGAAGGCAACATAAATCCCAATTTTTATCAGTCAGGCCACATTTTGAGAATTTAAACTGTATGTGACTTTCTCCCTGCAAAACTCTTTTGATATGTAAAGAATCTATGTATCTACAGAATTTTAAGTACAAAATTCAAACCATGTTGGCTTCAGTTTAGCATATGTATGTATGTGTTTAGTGTCTATGCCTGCCTCATGACTATGCAATGCTTTTTCAGGACGAAATAGATTGTTTACAGAAAGAAGTAGAAGAGCTTAAGAGTAAAAATCTCAGCTTGGAGTCACAGATCAAAACTATTCTGGATCCTTTAACCTTGGTGCAGGGCAACCAAAATGAAGACAAACATCTAGTCACAGATAATCCAAGTAAAATTAACCCAGAAACTGTAGCAGAGTGGAAGAAAAAACTCAGAACAGCTAATGAAATCTATGAAAAAGTGAAAGATGATGTGGATAAGCTAAAGGAGGTAAGTTGTGGTTTTTAAAAATCTATTATGGTTGTTTTTAAAATAAGTACCTTCAAAAGCATAAATAGCCATATTATCTTGACTCATCATCAGATGATTTGTGAGGAAAGGACAGAATCTCTGGATGAGCATTTATATGCAATAAGAAGACTTTTTCTTATTTAAATATCATTAACTGCCAAGAAATATCAGGTGGTTCCATGTGTGACTATAATTAGAGACTGTTGTGCTTCTGTATAAGATTGCATCTTCTTCTAGAAGAATAATACCAATTTAAAGGATGTGTTTCTGTTTCGTCCTCTTTGTGGTTTGCCATAGGTTTTTTAAGCTTATATCAGCGACTTCCCCTGTGTACCTAAAAACAAACACATAACCATTTTCGCACCAATGAAAGGAAAAGTTTTGACCTTATCTTTTCTTTTGCTACCACTCTCTTATTTTTAAGATTGTAGATAGATAAAGACTTGGTGACTAATTCCAGGACAGCAATAAGCAGCTGCTTCAGAGTACCTCATGCAAAAGAATGTTGTGATTTATGAAACTGGTTCATTTTTTTCAGTTTTTCTTTGAACGAGATACAGCATGGTGAAAAAGGCAAACCTCTAGGATTTTTCGGCCTAGAAAGGGAGATAAGATCCATGCCATCAGCACTAGATGTTACAGGCAACTCCTACAACACCATCTTGACCCAAGTGATCAGCCTTTAGCTTGAGTTCAAGTTTATCCACAGTGGAGTCCTCTTGTGCTGAAAGGAGATGGCTTTGTAGTACTCAGTTCTACAATCACATATTCAACTATTTGCATTTCCTTAAAATACTATTCCTGTGTGAAATTACTAAATCTTATCTCTCAAAATTATTAATGAGCTCCATATGGTATTTTAAAGGAGTTCCCCTGTATATTGGCTCTCAGGTCCTCAGGTTAAGTAGCAGAGAAATACTTGCAACTTAGATGTAAGCCATCTTCCACATATAAAATAAATGTTGTTTGGGCTCAGAAAAGGCCAGGGTGAGGAGAAGAGAGAGCCTAGTGCTTTTAGATAAAAAAGAAACTACAGACATAATTGTACTGAGTTTGTTATAAGTGTGTAGGAGGGAGAAGTGCATAGTTTCTTTGGGTATTGATGACCAGTGTTAGTACCTTGATTTGTTAGAAGACAATAGGATACTAAAAGGAATGCCAACTCGGAAATTACAGTATTTATCAATTTGCCTTGTTCCCTTTAATTTCCCTGGTTCTTCTTGAGCCATTGGTAAGCACTATATGATCTCCTTTGTAGTTATTAAACTTCGTTTAAAGTTTTGGCAGTAAATATTTCTTAGAACATGAGGCTTATAAGGGTGATATGAGGGATGGATATTAAAGAAGAATACATAAAGCACAGTTAATTTTCCTTTGCTCTTTTAATGGTCAAATGTTAAATTCAATACTCAAAGCTACCCTGGGACTTCAGAATTCTTTGGGATATTGAATAAGCCCATTTTCTATGCCTAGTGATGCTAGTAGGTAATAGGTTATAAACTGGGACATAAGTGAATGAAAAAACATGGACTGCAGAGATAAAAACTAAAGTGTGGAGTAATAACATACTCAACATAATCAAATACAGGAATACAAAAGATTCAGAATAAAGGATTACTTAGCATGAATGAAGTGGACTTTTTTTCTGATGTTACCTGGAATGGGTGAGTTTTGAACCATCGTGAGGCCAGTGTCATTACCCAATCAGTGTTGAGAATGCAGAAGGGTTAGCTGAAATATTCATTATTCTTTTAGGTGCAAAAGGTAGGCAGAACTCTGCCCTTCATAACTTTTATTCACCTAACCTTCTTGAACTTGAAAAGATCTCTGATAGTTGAGGAACTAGCCAGCCTATAATGAGAAGTATTAGAGAGTCAAAGGACTGTTGAGAGACTGAAACATAGCCATACAGTAGTGGTGGGGGGCAGGGAAGGGGAAAGGAAATCAAATGAGTTTCTAATTTAAGCTTGTCATCATCATCAAAAAGCATTCACTAAATGCCTCCCCTTATGGTGCTGTGCTTGAGAGCTTAATTCATTGTCTGCATATATGAGGAAGTAAATGGCTTTCCTTATATCTTCAGAGAAGCAGTAATGGTGTTTATCAGTCACTTAAAGAATTAACTCTCCACAGTCCTGGTTGGTGTGCATTCATGAAGATAAGCAGGTGCCTAGAGCCCAGAGGGAACCTGGATGGGTCTAAGTCAGGGAGTTAGACTTTATGCCCCCAAATAATGTTCTCTACCTTATTTCTTCTGTGATCCTTGTGCTGCAGCTTATGTGGGTAAGTAAGTAATACAGTCAGAAGTTCTTGAAATTCATCTAAGTAATAGCCAAATTTTTGAAATACGTTTTAAAGGCTTCTTGGTTTAAACCTTTTTTGGTGACAGTTATTCTTGTGACCCATTCACTTTAAATGTAAATGTTCTGGTCAAAGAATTTCCCTTTCCCAGGTTAGTGAGGTTGGTTTCTAGTCTAGGGAGTGTTATTTTTCTTTGTAATACATAAAAGCAATGAGTAGGGAATTTAAAGGAAGTAGCTTCTAAGAAGACTCTAAAATTTAAGCACACTAGTTTTCAGTGTGTCCAGAATCAGTGTTGAGCCTCTAGATTTTCTAGCAATTGGTGTCCTGTTAGGTAATTTTTAGGTGTTATACAATTCAAGAAAGAAAATCATACTTGGAAGGATTTTTTTTTTAATCGAAGAACAATTCATAGAATTTATTAGAAAATACTGATCCAGGCCTGGCAAGTGGCTCATACCTGTAATCCTAACACTTTGTGAGGCTGGGGCAGGTGGATCACTTGAGGCCAAAAGTTCAAGACCAGCCTGGCCACTGTGGCAAAACCCTGTCTCTACTTAAAATACAAAAATTAGCTGGGCATGGTGGCACATGCCTGTAGTCCCAGCTCTTCGGGAGGCTGAGACAGGAGAATCACCTGAACCCTGGAGGTGGAGGTTGCAGTGAGCCAAGATCACACCACTACACTCCAGCCTGGGCAACTGAGCAAGACTCTTTCAAAAAATATAGATAAATAGATACATAGATAGATAGATAGATAGATCCAATTTTGAGGGCCCTAGAAGTTGTGAGCCAGAACGTTGGAAAAGCCTTTTTGAAGAGAAAAAATCAAGTGGTTAAATCATATTAGATTTGTTATCACTAGAAAAAAATTTTTAAACAGCACCCCAGAAATCAATTTCAAAGCTCAAGAATTAACTCTTCAGCATTAGTTTGCCGATATTGCATGTGGTATAATGTTACCTTGCCTAGAATATTCAGTTATGTGAAAAAGAAAAAAAATCACACATACATTTGCCATTAGTATGGTCCCTTAATGACTCTAAGCTAACTAACATAGTTTTGTTTATTTCCCTGGACAGGAGATTTGCAAAGTGCTTGGGGAATATGGTTTTAAAATGCTCAGTAGTATTCAGTTTCTGAAGTCATTCCCAGTAGTGATTTTAAGTTTCTGAAGGCCATGTTCTACTATTCAGTTTTCTGATATTATCACTCTAAAAAATACGGATGGCTCATGTTGTAATTTTTACAAGTCACTTTTATTGTAGCTTTTGCTTACTTATTTTCAATTTGTTATTTTAGGCAAATAAAAAATTGAAATTGGAAAATGGTGGTCTGGTGAGGGAGAATTTACGACTGAAGGCTGAAGTTGATAACAGATCACCTCAAAAGTATGTATTTTGCTCCCAGAGCAATGCTTCAGATTATGTCAATATTTTAGACTAGGCTGCTGTGAGGGTTTGTTTTTTGTTTGACTCTTCATTTAATCATGTAGATTTAGGTAGAATGTCTTGCCTTTAAAAGTCAAGTTTATACTTCGTGTTGTTGGTAAAATTTTAGTCTCGGTTAAGGCTAATTTTAAAGAAAGAATTTTATGCCTGTACTTTTTTCTTATCTGGTGAATAATGTGACCTAACACAAGTGAGCATTGACTTGGTTTTACATATAACTGTTTAATAGTACTAACATAGTAGTGAGATTAAGGTAATGCCCTTTAGCTATTTTCTTAGATAGTCTTAGTAATAGTTAATGTTCATATAGTTCTTTCTCTTTGCAAGATACAACAACCTGTAATGAAGAACTATTATTATTCTCTATTTTCAGATGAGAAAATGGAGGCATAAAGAGTTTAAATTAATTTACCTAAATCTTCACAAGTGGAAGTGTTAGAAATAGCATTTGACCAGGGGGCGCAGTGGCTCATGCTTGTAATCCCAGCACTTTGGGAGGCAGAGTTGGGCAGATTGCCTGAGGTCAGGAGTTCGAGACCAGCCTGGGCAACATGGCAGAACCCCGTCTCTACTAAAAATACAAAAAAGTTAGCTGTGCGTGGTGTTGGGCACCTGTAATCCCAGCTACTCGGGAGGCTGAGGCAGGAGAATCACTTGAGTCCGGGAGGCAGAGGTTGCATTGGGCCGAGATCATGCCACTGCACTCCAGCCTGGATGACAGAGCGAGACTCTGTCTCAAAAACAACAAAAAGAAATATCATTTGACCTTAAATAGCCCAGCCCCAGAGTCTGTGCTCTTAACCATTACACTAAAAAAAAGCCTATCTGAAATAGAATTTAGGACATTGTTCATTGAATTTTTTGCTGATTTAAAACTATACAATTAAGTAAACTTATTTTTCCCTTATGGAGTAGTTTGTTTTTTTTTGTTGTTTGTTTTTTGTTTTTTTTTTTTGTTTTTTGTTTTTTGTTTTTTGTTTTTGAGACGGAGTCTTGCTCTGTCGCCCAGGCTGGAGTGCAGTGGCGCGATCTCGGCTCACTGCAGGCTCCGCCCCCCGGGGTTTACGCCATTCTCCTGCCTCAGCCTCCCGAATAGCTGGGACTACAGGCACCCGCCACCTCGCCCGGCTAATTTTTTGTATTTTTAGTAGAGACGGGGTTTCACCGTGTTAGCCAAGATGGTCTCGATCTCCTGACCTCGTGATCCACCCGCCTCGGCCTCCCAAAGTGCTGGGATTACAGGCGTGAGCCACCACGCCCGGCCATGGAGTAGTTTTTATTCCATTCCAGAAGATAAGAATTTGCAAGCATTGGACTGCTTAACAGTTTGTCTGTTCAATATTTTAAGAAAGAGTTGGGATTTAAGGGTTGCAAATGGAGAAAAGATCGCAGACAGCACTTAAGGTTCTTCTTTTTCCAGAAAAAAAAGATGACAAATGAGAAGACAATATGGCCCCCAATGTCCAGCAACCTCTCTGAGGGATGGCACATGAGAACACCACACTTTCTTCCCATCCAACCACTGGACTTCATTTCTTTCTAATGGAAAAAGACAATGCAGGAATAAGCAAACAATGGAAATTTATCCTACCAGAAATAGCTCTCTGCTTGTCATTTGAAAAGGAGGAAATGTTGCCCTTGGTAAAACCAGATGTGGTATCAAGAAATGGCAGAAGCTAACCATAATTACTGGAGGCAGAGATAACTAACCAATGAGAAAAAAGCATGGCTTTTACGTTTAAATAGTTTCTTCCCCTGTGCTCTCCAACCCCGTTTTTCTTTCACTTCAGATAATGTCCTACTTTGACAAATTAGTGAAATAAGCTTAGGAAGTGTTACTGTTATGTAGTGGTTTGAATCTCTATGCCTATCATTTATTGGCAGCTTGCCTTGCCAGTCACAGTAATGCTTGTCCATTAGCCGTTTCCCACAGCATGCTGAATGGAACGAAAGCTATTTTGTTTGTAGCTCTTATTTCTTGAAAACTTGCCCACCAGCTTTCACATTTAATGCCAGCCACAAGGATGTGTGTTTTAAAATATCCATGGCTCAAACTGGATAAAGAACTGAAGAATCTCACCTGAGGAAACTTGGCCTCTGTCTGCGCTCAGAAAAGGAGCTGCACATCTGAATCCAATATAACTTTAGGATTTTTCCATCTTTAACTTCCATTGGTTCCCTTCAGGGGAAGTTCACTTGAAAAGCGATTTGAGCTGAAAACCGTATTCCAGATCAATTTGCAATGCATTGAGGTATTAAATGCATTGCATTTGATTTATAGCCTTGTTTACTCTGCATCACCAAACCCTAGTGGGATTCAGAGAGAAGCTGACCACAGCTGAAAATACCCAGATCTGGTTCACCTGAGGAGAGCTCCTATTTGTATGGAAAAGAATAAGACATTTCAAGAGTTCACAAATAAATGCAAGCAAATAAAAATCACCCATTCCATTTTAATCCCTTGGTTTAGAAAATGCCTTGACTAACTATTTTTCTCTTTTCGGCTTGGTTAGGTGTCAGGGTATACTTTTTTATACACTTGGCCTTAGTCTCCAATGTATCCTACAAGTTGAGCAGAAGTATTCTACAAATCATACAGAAGAGTGAGCTTTAAAGTTTAGACACTAGAGAGGGAAAAATATTAGGAAGGTGTATTAGCTCAGATTGTCATAACAAAATGTTATAGGCGAGTGGCTTGAACAACAGATTTATTTTCCCACAGTTTTGGAGGCTAGAAGTTCCACATCAGAATTTGGCAGGGTCGGGTTGTGATATGGGTTCTCTTCCTGGCTTGCAGATGGTTACCTTCTTGTTATGTCTTTATATGGTTGGGGGAGAGAGAGAAATCTGGTCTCTTTTCCTCTTAAAGGAACACCTAATGACCTCATTTAGCCTTAATTGCTTCCTAAAGATCTTTTCTCCAAATACAGACACATTAGAGGTCAGGGCTTCAACATACGAATTTGGAGGGGAGGGTGAGGACATGGCTCAGTCCATCACAGAACATATTTCTTTCTAAGATGCTCCAACAGATACCATGCTATTTTCCAAAAACTTGACTAAAATCTGGTACGAACAAAGGAGATTTACATTGGTCTCAAGAACATGGTATTGTATAAAAACGAATATATTTTACATACAATCTTTTAAAAACAATACCATAATCTTTTAAAATGAAGGTGTTGGTTATCATTTGTCTCCTCTGCTATACTGTACCTGGACATTTTTCCTTCCTCAATTTTAACTTAAAAGCCCTCTTGAGCAA
Organism: Homo sapiens; assembly: GCF_000001405.40. Classification (NCBI taxonomy): domain Eukaryota; kingdom Metazoa; phylum Chordata; class Mammalia; order Primates; family Hominidae; genus Homo; species Homo sapiens. Next base: position 78,631,784 of record NC_000013.11, on the reverse strand, counting down.
TGTGGCAGATAGCCTACTAAGCATGTTCTTCTAGGTTTCAATAATATTCATCCTGTTCCTTGCCAAAAATTCATTTGTCCTAATATCCAAACTCGTTGTCCAGAAAATGCAGTCTTTTCCTTTGGCTTTATTTAGCCACTTTCTGAATCCTTATTATGCTTCTGAATTTATTTCACCTGGAGGAAACCACCTGTTTGGCCCTTCAGTTTCCCCTAACTTGGACTCCTAAGAGATTTGGATTTGATCTTCAGAGCTCAAGGGGTGGTGATATGACCTTTAAGTTTACAAGAGTAATATGTGAAGAAGACTTACTCCACTTGCCAACCCAGAAATAATGAATTTTTTCTTACTTAACATTGTGCTAGATGCTTGGAACAAAATAAATACTCTCTCTGACCCCTAAAGAAGGTTGGGTTCCCTTGCTGTGATTTCTTATTACTTGTACTTTCCCTTAGCAAATGTCACAACTGCTAATAATTAACACTTTGTGTAATTGTTTTATGACTTTGTTCTGTTTGAGCAAGGGCTATAATATGTAGTCACTATTGCAACCACTGCATTTTATAGGATTCTGGCTCCCATGCTGCTCCTACTACGTATCTATTGAGTAAATGAATGAAAAAAGCATAACTCCTATGACTGAGGAAACATACAGACAAATCCAGAATGTGGGATACTCAATAGGAAAAATGACTAGGTTTCTTCATTAAGTCATTGAGGGAGGGTGCTGCTTTACAGTAAAAAAGAACTATGAAACATAATAACCAAATGCAATGTGGACTTGTTAGCATACTGATTAGTAACAAACTGTTGAAAGATATTTTAGAGGCAGCTGGGTAAATTTGAATATGAAGCAAGTATTAAATGAAATAATAGCAAGGAATCACTCTTAATTTTGTTTAGGTATCATGATTACTTAAGAAAACACCATTTATGTTAGTCCTTTTGGGCTGCTATAACAAAATACCCTAAACTGATTGGCTTATAAGCAACAGAAATTTATTTCTTACAGTTCTGGAGGCTTAGAAGTCCAAGATCAAGGTGCCAGCTGGTCTAGTGAGGCCCACTTCCTGCTTCATAGACAGCTGTGTCTTTTTGCTGTATCCTCGAATGGCAGAAAGGACAAAGGAGCTTTGTGGGACATCTTTTTAAGGGCATTAATCTCACTTATGAGGGCTTGAACCTTTTGACCTATAGGCCCCAGAAGCCCTTACCTTTAAATATTATACCATCACCTCCTATTGGCCCTGCCCCAAATACCATCACTTTAGGGATTAGGTTTCAACATAAGAATTTATGGGGGACACAAACATTTAGTCTATGGCACCATATTTTCTTTTGGAAATGCATCCTAAAACATGAACTATAGAATACTTTGGCAAAAGGCAAAGGATATAATACAAAGGAAATAAGACAAAAATCTTGATAATTGTTGAATATGTGTTATGAGTAAATGGGAGTTTATTATGTTCTCCCTACTTCTGTGAATGGTTAGAATTGTTTATATTAAGGAAAAAAACCCCAGCAAAACATGGTCCCTGCTTCCAGAAAAGTAGTTAATGAAGGCATGACATGAAAATATATGAAACAAATGCTTAACAGATACTAAGCCAAATAATAGAGACAGCAGTATGGGTTCAGAGAATGATGGTTAGGTTGCAGGGATAAGGAAGATCTTTATCAAAAAGAACTTAAGCCCAGCTTTGAAGGATGGAGATTTCAGGGAGGAGAAAGGCATTCTGAGTGAGAGAAAACAGCATGTGCTGTTAGGAGTACTAAGCGGTCCCTTCAGCCCCAGTCCTTTTTCTCCAGTAGTAGTAGCCACATATCGTGGTACTACTCAGTAAGCACACTAGCTTTCTTCTCAAATTTACCAGAGCAAAAGTCCATGTAATTTTTACATCTCTCTACTGTGACCATCATCCCTCTATTTTTATAGTTTGGTAGCATGACTCCACTACATCCACCACTTTCTACTCTAAGCAGAAGGGCCTGTTCTCAGTCTGAATATTTAGTGGGGAATGTGAAGCGTGTCACATCCCCACATGGTAAGAAACATCAAGAAAGGGAAGAAGCTGAAGGGAACACTTAAGTACTGGATTTCTCATATTCCTAAATTCCCTTGACTTTAATTACTACTCCTAAACTGTGCCAAGCTATGTGGATATACTTATCCTTGGTAGAGTTAGAAGTTCCTTAGTGACTTTTTTAACTTGAAGAGATGTGAAGAATTGACTTGTAAAGCATTTGAAAGTTCTGTGCCCTCTCTCCATGTCTCTGTTCAGTTGTGCCACTTTTTTTTTCTCTAGCCACTTGAGGCAGGGATCATGCTATGTCACCAACTATTATGAGGATTTAGTAGAGCAGGTATTTTTGTCCTCAGCTACTAACTCACCTTAATAGTATGGGATATACTATTAGGTCATTTATATCAAACTTGGTTATAATTGAATTAATGGCTTTTCTTTCTATAAATATGTATGCAGGAATGTTATGTGTTCTGTCATTGTGTCTTTAGTGAGATCTATGGGTTTGATAATGTCTCCCTGAGTGCAGTTCATTTTACTGTACAGCAACCCCAAGGCTTGTCATTATGGACAAGTCTTCAGCAATGCCTCAGCTCCTTTTGGGGGAGGATAAAGGCTCTAGATACTCTGGGCAGTAAGTAATATTTTCTGTTATTAAGATATGAAAAGAAGTGTTCTGAAGAGGAAGGAATAGACTTCATTGATTGTGACCTGGGCTTGCTTCCTTTTTTGCTCTATTTGTATTTTTTGAGCCATCAGAAATGAAATTTAAAATCAGTTAGCTTAGGGCTTTAATAATTGTCTGCCTATGTGTCAGAGATTATAAAACAAAATCAAAATCTTTGACCTCACATTCTCTCCTGAACTGCAGGTTCATGTTTTCATCTATCTTTTTTGTGCCTTTACCAGAGATTCTATACCTCAAATTAACCACAGAGCACGGTGGTTAAGAGCTTAACTCTGGAATCAGACTTCCTGGATTCAAATTTCCCTTCTTCCATTTTGTCCGTCCTTTCCCTACCCAATTCATTTTTCACCATACTCAAAACTGTCTTTTAATAAAGTACATATAAAATTATTTAAATCTCCTGCTTAAAACTATTCAGTGTTTTCCTAGAATAAAATCCAGACTCTTCACTGGCTAGTCTGCATCTGCCACCTCTTCTTCGTCTAATTCTTAACTCCTCCATCTCATCCTACTCCAGTTCTACTAGACTTTGTTTCTAAAACATGCTGTGTTTATTTCCTTTGCTTAGAATACTCTCCTTGCAGATCTTTACATGGCTGTCTCCTTCAATCCTCAGATGAAGGGAAGCCTTTTCTGATCATTCAATCTAAAGCAGCCCTTTCACTCAGCACCTTCTACTGCCTTAACAGAAGACCATAATAATAAAATCATGGTTGGGTAAAACAGTAGAGCATGGTGATTGTGAACACAAACCTTGGAGCCAGACTCCATATGACCGAACACTAATCTTGCCTACTTACTAGCTCTGTGATTTAGACAAAGATATTTAACCTTTCTGTATCTCAGTTTTTGTCTTCTGTGCAGTAGGGTTAATAGTACTACCTATCTTGTAAGTAATAGTAAGAGTTAAATGAAACTTAAAATACCCTTTTAACAGAGTCCATAGTTAGCAATTAATATTATAGTATTGTCTTCACAGCCATTATCACTGTCTGAAATTGTCTTGTTCATTTAATTGCGTGGCCTGTTTGTTGTCTGTCTCCTCCATTCTAAACTCTAAGCTCCATTTTAAACTCTAAGCTCCTTGCTGCCTATCCCCTTCATTTCCAAAGCCCCCAGTATCTGAAGATACCTGATAAATATTTTTTGAATAATTGAATGAATAAACAAGTAAATAACATTGGATAAATTAACCTTGAAGTCTTTTTTTAACATAAAATGAGGGTGCGTTATTATGAGGATTAAAGGAAATCTATTACCTTGACATGATGTGTCGTATAAAGAATGGGAAGACAAAATAATATAAATCTTCTATAAAGATACATGCTTGCATATGTTTATTGCAGAACTATTTACAATAGCAAAGACATGGAACCAACCCAGATGACCATCAGTGATAGACTGGGTAAAGAAAATGTGGTACATATACAGCATGGAATGCTATGCAGCCATAAAAAGGAATGAGATCATGTCCTTTGGAGGAACATGGGTGAAATTGGAAGCCATTATCCTCAGCAAACTAGCACAGGAACAGAAAACTAAACATCACATGTTCTCACTTATAAGTGGAAATTGAACATTGAGAGCACATGGACACAGAGAAGGGAACAGCACCCACCAGGGCCGTTAAGGGGTGGGGGCTGAGGGGAGGGAATTTAGAGGATGGGTCAGTAGGTGCAGCAAACCACCATGGCACACGTATACCTATGTAATAAACCTGAATGTTCTGCACATGTATCCTTTTTTTTTTTTTTTTTTTTAGAATAAATAAAACAGGTAGAGGTGGGATGGGGGAATGTGTATGTCTAAAAAATCATATTCATAATCCCCCATCCCATGCAAAAGATCCGCTTTGTTCCTGTCCTTCTTAATGACTTTAGTACTTTAGTATGTTCTCTATAGCCTACCTTTTTAAAATGCCTCTGTAATCCATCTTCTCATTTTCACTAGTTTAGATCCATATTATTTCTTGCCTAGCCTGTTGTAACAGCCTTTCTACTGCTTACCTTTCTTTCCTGTGCTGTCGCCCAGGCTGGAGTGCAGTGGCACCATCTCAGTTCACTGCAAGCTCCGCCCCCTGGGTTCATGCTATTCTCCTGCCTCAGCCTCCTGAGTAGCTGGGACTACAGGCGCCCGCCACCATGCCCGGCTAATTTTTTGTATTTTTAGTAGAGATGGGGTTTCACTGTGTTAGCCAGGATGGTCTCGATCTCCTGACCTCATGATCCGCCTGCCTTGGCCTCCCAAAGTCTGGGATTACAGGTGTGAGCCACCACGCCTGGCCCCAATATTCTTGGTCTAGTATAAAAGGGTCTTTACTATATAACTTCAGTTTAATATCCTTGCCTCTTCTCTAGCCCCTCGCTTCTTGTGCTCTGCTCTGGCTATGCTGAATTTCTCATTGGGCCCACATTCATCATACTGTATTTTCCCTGGTTCTCCACATTAGCTTCTCTTGTTTTTATTCTTCCTGGTTAATCCCTGTCTGTCCTTTGAGATCTAGCCCAGTTGTTGGTTTATATGTGAGGCCCTCCCTAATTTTCCTAGACAGAGGTAGCATTTTCCTCTTGTACTTTTGATTACTCTTCTTCTACCCTGTTGTTTTAATGATCGTGTTGTATGTTGATCATTTCCATGACTGTCGTACCCAGTTAATCTGGCAGCTCCTTGGCACCAAGACATATTTTTTAAATGCACATTTGTGTATTTGTACAAAATACGTATATATGTGTGTGTATCTTCCTTTTATGGAGTCTTACAGAAGGAAAGAGTCCTTATACTTTAATACTTGAAGCTTAAAGTACAAAGGATGTAAGAAAACAGGAAATCAGAGATTCCTGGAACTTTCTCCACATTAGAGCAAAGGATTTCTGGAAGCTTTCCTCTTTAAGTTATGCCAGAGATTCAGAGTTAGAAAGAGAAACAGAGGAGGTGATAGTAGGGACTTGCCTGGCTATAGTCTTGAGTTTCTTGTCCGCATCTATTTACTTGAATCAGATTTTCCTTCCTTTACCTGTCTCCATGCTGACTCTGAGCTGTGCAGTTAGTTCCATTTCACAGGTCTGCTCTTTCTAAACTATGTCTCAAGATGTGCTAGTAATGCTCTAACCTTTTGGTTCCTCATCAACACTGCTGGTCTGGCTGGCTCTTGCTGTTGTCCCTTCTTGACCTATTCTGGCCTTTTTTGTTTATCACGATTCTTCTCTGACAAATGTGGTGATTTCCTAGTATTTGACCCTAGCCTGATCCAATGACTGATTCTGCTATGCCTTTGGTTTTCCCGGAAGGGGAACTTGTAGACTGTCAGGGGAGCCTGATGATACCCTGGGGCCAGACTGTGACAGCCAGTTGTGCTCAGGCCCCTTGGCTGCCTGAGGGACCCTTCTCTGGATATTCACTTAATTGGGGATAGACAGGTACTGCAGTTTTCTGTCAGTTTGTCTTTATTGTATTGATAAGGTACTTGGGGAGGCGGCAGTGCATGCTAATGACTAAGCAGTAAGGTTGTCAGAGAGATTATGAACTGTTTGAGAAGAGGAATGATCACTTCTACTTCCTTTGTTTTCCTTCTTCATAGCCCCTGAGCACACATTAGTCCTCAATAACTGTCATCTGAGTAATAATTACAGGGTATCTAGATCAGTTTTTTGTTGTGTTTCGTTTTCTTTTAGATTTTGTTTCATGCTGAGAGAGAATAAGAGATCATTTAGTTAAGGTGGAAAATGTATAGACAGGTAGATACTAATCCAGAGATTTTTAAGTATATTTTTTATCACTCAACAGTAGTTGCACTCTTTTACAGTATTGAGATTTTGTTGTTAAGGTTATTTTATTTTGGGAAAAGATGTAAGTCCTTTAATTTCTCTTAGAAATAAAAAGATATGAAATAGCATGTCTTAATTTTCTCTCCTTTCCATGACAGATTAGGATCCCTGTTAATGTCCTGCAAATTTCAAGGCTGATCTTGGTTGGTTGAAGGGAGCAGAGGGGAGAAAATGAGGGCATTTCTGCATGGAATCAAAATGAGATATATTTGTCAAATAGAATAGAATTTATTCCACAGTAAAAAGAGTAGTCTGTCCTCACAGGCAATGCAGAGAAAGTAGTACTTAGAGTTAGGCATCCTGTTTTGGGCAACTTTGCCCAGTGTGCTGCCCAGAGAGAAGGAAAGAAACCTTGGAAATGGAGGCTAACTAGTTGCAGTTTCCAAACAGAAGGCCAGAGACCATGTTCCAATTGCCACAGAAGCAAGTAGGGTGAAATTGGCCAGCATGGAACACAGTTTAGTTCTGTATTTCTCCTTATCCACCTGCTGACCCAATACTATGTGGGTCAGCCCTTAGAGGTTTACCACAAAAGGGAGCTGTCTGTTCCTCTTCAGTTCACATATGCTGTTCAACACTCAGGTCATTTTTATTAATTTCTAAGGCATCTCAGAATTTTCACCACAGTTTTTTAACTACAAATGCATAGTTGGTTTAATAAGATAAACACACAAAGAATTTCCTTTAAAATTTTGTTCTGCAGTGAGCCGTGATCATGCCACTGTACTCCAGTCCTCCAGTCTGGGTGACAGGATGAGATCCTGTCTCAAAAATAAATGAATAATATAGTGTTAATAATATAAGCTATTAATTATTAACCCTGCTCTTCATTTGAAAACTTGAAAAGCAAACTCTACTTTGATTTTTAAATGGTACTTTTAGAAGATGGAGGGATAAGGAATTACTGCAAGGGCATAATTCTTTGTCTTGTTCCCCTGTCTTTATCAACTTTGTCTTTAAGGGTGAAATTCTGGCATTTTTTATTCTTGCAAATATTGGAACACTTTCTGTTTTGTGATAAAACTAAGATGCAACATAACGTAGCTTGTATTTTTTTATTTCTCTTAATTATACCCTGAGAAATAACCCATGTGATGTTTAGGCCTTAAAATTTTGCATTTAGTTTTTCTCATTTCATATAAAAAACATCTTTTACTTGTAGTTGAAGATACCTGCTGATTGTGCATGAACCAGGCAAGTTTATCATACATACTTTCTATACATAGCACATTTAAGTATTATGCTTTCAGCTCTGTTTCAAACTTAGTCTTTATATCTCTGGTTAAATATTTGGGTTGGCATTTACCAGGGTGGTCTGTCAATGCTGTACTTTCATGCAAGGCCACTTTAATAAATGATCTTTTAAAATTTCAAAATATTACTGGATTTATGCCTAAAATATGGTGGTGGTTTGATAAATGTTTACTGAATTTGTGCATACATACTATATGTCTTCCTACAATTTTTGTATTTCCTCTGTGTTTCTATTAGCCAATGTATGTACCAATAAATAGCACAAGAATCCTAGTTCATTGACTCTGTATACACATTTTGCCTAGAAAAATCTAGTCTACATTTTGATATGAAATATAAATAGGTACTGATATTATTTAAGAAGGGCCTTATGTTCAAGTATTTAATACGATTTCAAACATGGTGTATGGGTTCAGAAGGACTTGGATTCAAATCCTATTCCTGCTGCTAAGCCCCTTTTAAGCTTCTCATTTCTCATTTTTAAAATAAGAATAATGAATCTTGCTTCATAAAGTTGATATGAGGATTAAATGAGATAATATATATCAAGCATATAGCACTGTGCTTGATGCCAAGTAAACAATGAATTGTGGCAGCTGCTTTTCTTTTTGTCATCATCATTGTCAATAGTAGTCAGTTATGCAGTGTTAAAGATGTATTTGTTACACTTACTTTCGGTAAATTCCAGCCAAAAGTTCACTTTCCTTTTTTTTTTTTTTTTAAATGTTCTCTTTCAGTATATCTCATTTAACATTTTTGTGGAACCAACGCGTGTGACTAGGATTGACCATAGATAGTACTTTTATGATTAACAAATTTCTAGGAATGTAGCAATTTTGTAACTGACAGCTTAATTTTAAAAAGAGAAAACTCTCTTGAGGAAACATTGGCAAATTATATAGCTCAGCAACAGTATAAATGTATGGGTTGCTTCCCAAAACTTCCCTAGTAGTTTAAAGACAGAATGTTTCCTCTCTACCCTCCCAACACATATACAAGGATGGGTAATGCACAAATGATCCATAGGAAGCAGGTGAGAGAAAAGAGATGCCAGAGGCTTTGAACCTTCTCCCCCACCACCTAACACAGTTTTGGGTTTCCTACAGCTCTGGTCCTCCCTGTCCGCTTTTCCTAAATTGTGCCCCACCCACCCTGCACACATGTACACAAGATAGATACCAGTACCAGGACCTTTTCATTTTTCTTCTCACTTCTGTCAAAACTCGGATTTCTATAGAGCTCCTGTTAAGGCTACTCACTTATTAAGTGTAATCAAAAAGAGGAGTTAGGAAACTCAGAGAATCTGAAACTGGTAGATTGTGTGTTGGGAGATATAATTAAGAAAGGAAAGGGCAAATGGAAAGCTCTTCTCTCTGAAACCTTAGCTCCCTGTGTTTAAAATAGAAAAGATACTTTCCTAATATTTCTGAAATTTAGGAAATGAGAAGCTACTATGGCTATGTAGACAGGCAAGTCCACAATAAAATCCATTCTATGAATGGATCATTCTTTCTCAGATTAAGTGGCAGTTCTTTAAAGAAAAATATTTGAGACACATAAATTTATTTGGTTTTGTCCCATATCAACCATTACTTTATGAAGCCCACTTGCAGCCTTGATTTCCCAGGCTCAAGCGATCCTCCAGCTTCAGCCTCCTGAGTAGTTGGGACTACAGGCGCATGCTTCTGTGCCTGATATATATTTTTTTTTTTGGAGAGACATGATCTCATTATGTCGCCTAGGCTGGTCTTGAACTGCTGAGCTGAAGCCATCCTCCTGCCTCACCTCCCAAAGCATTGGAATTACAGGCATGAGCCATGGACCAAAGCAGTCTTAGTAATTAATGGGAAAAATCACAATTGTTTGATGACCTTTAGCAACTTTGTCAAAACATTTAACTCTTATTATCAATTACATATGTATATGGATAGGCAAGAACAGTAAAAGTAATATTTAGTACATTGATATTTATGTAGTACAATTTGAAACATGAGAAATATTGAGAATTCGTGGTTTTTTTGTGAAAAACTTCTGGAGAATAATTTGAATAGTGCTTCCCTTCTCATATAATTTATGATATGAAGCTAGCATCATTTCTGATACCTTGATGAATTTTCACACTCCTAAGTTTGCATCAACTTCCAGCATTTTATCGTTTGCTCTCAATATCGTGAAAGAGCTCCACATTGCTTTAGTGCGAAGTGTTTTGTCAGCCTGTCATTTTCTCTAGACATCTTCATCCTTTTCACCACCACTTTTCTCATCCATGTCAATAAGTTTGCCTCTACAAAGTGCTTCTGGCATATCTAGAATTTCTTGAATGGACTGACATTGTTGTAATATTCCCACAGTCAGTGATTTCTTCCATAACTACATTTACATTTGATTTCAATTTCACTTCCAATGTTATCATTGTTTATTTCTTTGTTACACCTTCATCTTTGTTGACCAGTTCTGTCGTTTTATTAACTGTTTTTGTGAAATGTCATGCGGGTTTTTTACTGGGAGACAAGGAGCAGCCCAGCTGCACACTTTGCTGTCTGTATGTTAACTGAAAAACAGGTAAATGCACAGTGACTAATCACTGACTGACCTTGAAAGAAGTGACTTGATGGGTCACTGATCATGAAGCACGTCTATTATTTATGTAGTGTTTTTTGAACTGAAAAGCTAGAAGTGAAGGTTTTACTTCATGCAGTTACTCATTAATAATGGTGTGGTAACTGAAATTTGAACCATATTGTTGGGTGACTTGTAAATTAAACCATGGTAACTGAAATTTGTGCATATTGGAACCATATAAAGCAAGGATATCAACACTGAAAACCTGTCAGATAGGCCACACCACAAAAGCTGGTCCAGGTCCAAAGATAGCTTTCGCTTTGTTTCATTACCTCAGCTACCAAGTGAGGGAAACATATAAAGTCAAAGTTTGATGAGGCAAGTGGACTGACTTCCCCAATGTCCCCCTTGTTCCTCCTCAAGAAGGCATTTCTGAATTTTGGCAGTCTTGGCCACCCACTGGGCTTGCTGCATTTACCCATTTTGTTGGAATTGCCATTGAGAACCAGAAAGGCAAAGTGAATTGCTCAAGGATAGTAGCGTAGCACTAGAGCTTATTAGTTTTTTGGTACTCAGGTGTGGTATTCTTTTACCACATTTGTTTTCTTCAAACACGTCCTGTTTTTCTGTGTGATAGACTATGAGAAAATATGGTCTTAGGAACTTTTTGTTGTTAGAGATGCTCTTTAGTTTAGTTATACCACCTCAAAGGTCATACCAATAGGACTTCCATTTCTCTTTTACTAGGGACAGAAATGATCTTGTATCTCTTAGAGCTATTTGGACAAGGGGAACTGGCATCCTTTTCTCTCTCATCCAGAATGTATGTATCAGTTAATATTGCAAGCTGAAAAATCCTTTAAGCTTCTGTTAGATTCTGGCAGAATACAGTTCCGATATCAATTGTAGCTCCCAAACTGCTCTGCAGTGTTTTTTCTGGCACAATGAAGCCTTTGGCCATCACTGCTACTTTGAAAATCAAAGCCTTTTGGTCTCTAATGGAATGTTTATAAAAATACTCCATTTTGAAATTTACTCAAGAAAAGGAGGAAGTATGGTAAATGATATTAGAAATCCCTCCGGCTTGCCTTGGCATAGCTTCATTTAGTGTTGTATACTCCAAATATCTAGAATTAGTGTGAATACAAAAGTATTAAAACCCAAAGATAAATAAGCTCATGTCCTTCTTCTATGGAAGTATAGCATCAGATACTTATCCCTAATTGTTATTTCTCTATAATAAGGTAAATTGCCCTTTGCCAAATTTAATATAGTTATCTTGGATAAGCTGAAAATTTCCTGACACATGTCAAAAGTCTCATCTATTTGCAGTCTTACTAAGGTGAAGTTTTTTGGGGTGGAGCAGTATAGAATGTCAAGCCTGTAGCAAAAAAGGCTGTACTGTACATATGTCAGTCTCTGTTGCTTTCCTGGGTGTCAGTGAAATAAAGTAAACAGTCAAATGTAGTAAACAAAACATGTTTACTTTAGTAATACAGTGACTGTCATAATACTTAACATGTAAAAAGAAGGCCAAGGACCTTTAGCTTATCCTGTGGTGTCAACCCTGTCTCAATGTAAGGCACTAGTGTATCTTAAAGTAAGAGAATGACTTTTATTCAAGAAATACACAACAGGCAAGTGCCGTATACCAGGAATTGTTCTAGGAATCTGGCAGTGAATATAAGACAAACTACCTGCTCTCCTTGAGCTTCTATTCTAACGTGGGAGAAAGAAAGCAAATAAATTACATGAATTGATTAATTGATCAGTTGCATGGCTTTTAGTATACATTTCTGTCAGTCTGCCAACCAGCACAGGTCCCTTATTAGCATGGGAGAAGGGCCTGATCACTGAAAGTATTATAGATTTATAGAGTATTGAAAGGAAACTTAAGGAAATTGGGGGCAGTGGCCTTTTAGAAAACAGCCTAACTCCATCAGTGACTTCTGCTTGCTTGTGCCTCTCATATGTGATCTGCTACTGGCCTTTGTTACTTCTCTCTGAAATAACACAAAAATTATGTTTAGGGCTCTCATTGACTTCAACTCCAAACCATATGTTACTTCTTTTAAAAACATAATTTCTAAAAAAAAAAAATATATAGAGAGAGAGAGGCAAATACAGTATCTTAAGATGATACTATATTTGAAATTCCAAGCTAAAACCCTGGAACAAGAAGCTGGTAATATTTTGGGAAGCATTCTTTATTTTTGAGTAGTCTTTCTGTGTGTAGGCCTCTAAGTTCCCAAAGATATCCTTTGGTAGCAACTGACTTACTATGTAGTAGCATTATTTGATTTTAAGTCATTTGATTTTTTTATCTGAGGAGATACCTTTATTATAAAAAATTTTACTTGAAGAAATTTATCTTGATAAGCAAATGTAAGGCTGTCACTTTTGCTTATTGGCATTAAATAAACATACTACAGTTTTTCCATTTAAAAATGTGGGTTATTTGATTATGCCAGAGTAGTTACAATCAAGAACTAACAAACATTTGTACTTAATGTACTGAAAGGTCTTTGCCCACTTTTTAAAAGTTCTCTTGCAGAACTACAACTCTGTGAAGTACTACATTTATAAGCCAAAACATTTTTAACAAAGAAGAAAAATTCCCATCATTCATTTAACCAAATACAGTAGTAAACTTTGTCTTTAAAATGGGGAGGCTTGTTATTATAGTTGCTTTTGTTTTTGTTATACCTGTGGTTTTTGCTGTGTTTTTTTAGAAGTTGAAGGGAGCGTGCTCTCTCTGGGGGTTCAGTTAATTGCAGTGAGTAAATCAATATTCAGCAATCATGTCTTTTAAAGCCCTTTCTAATCTTGAGATTTTATGATTCTATATTTACCTTTGCCTCTGCTTTTTCCTTCAGTGATAAGAGTGCAGGGATTATGTAGGGGTTGAGATGGGGAATGAATTGGGCTAGTGGTTTAGGAGGTGATGGGCATTAAGTGGGAGTTGAAAACATGTTGTGGTTGATTCTAAGAGGGGCAATTGCTATTGGCTTCTGCTTTTTTTGTAGTTTTTTTTTTCAATACTAAATACATGTTCTTAATTGTAATTATTTTTCAAATTAGGGGAAAAAAGGAAGAAAAAGATAAACCCAAAGATAAAAATAATTTTTGAAAGTCACCTTCTCATAGCTTCCTCCAAACAGACAATCCCTTAATTCTTAGAAATGGGCCAATATATAAATCATCAAAAAGATGATTAAGAATAGGCTTTGAAAAGAATTTTGGAGGAGATAAGGTATTTTTCACGGGATTATGTTATTTATTGGCTCATAAGTTTCCTGAAAGATAGAATTTATTTTTGGTGATAAGATTGAATTTAAGGTAGATATTTTATGTCCCTTGGAGCTAGACAGTCTTTTTTATCTTTTGTGTTCCCAGCCCCAAATATACCACCTAACCTATACTAGGTACTCAAAAATTGTTTCCTGAGCTTAACACAGTACTCATTCTTGGTGGAAATAACAGCAAGATAATCCCGGTGTAAAAGGAGTAGACTTTTTGTGAATAAGGGAATTCTTTTTCAGTCACTCTCCAAAATGTTCTCTTTCAGAAAGTGTACAAAAAAATTTTTTTTTTTGCCTAGTATATTGGAATCACAAGCACTGACTTCATATTTCAAAGTTGAAAGAAATGAGATAGATGTCCCACACAGCTGTAAAATGCCAAAAATAAGTAGTGCTGACATAAATTAAAGGCCAGTGCTCTGAAAAGCCACAGAAAAGCTTCAGATCAAGGGTGGCTATAATTGAAAGGGCCCAAATAAGTATTTAAAACCACCCCTCCTGGGACTGCTAAGATTTCTGAATTTCAAATTGGCATTTTATGTTTGACAAGGTGACATTATATAAGAAATGTATTGTAAAACACTGCTGTATGATAGGAAAATGATTGAATGTAAATATTTCAAGATGTAGACCACTGTTCAAATGTTATCATAAATCTTTGCCATTGTTTTAGGGGATAACTCTTCATGCATATATGAGCTGAATTGATACAGCCAGCTCTTCGAGGGGAAATCATCAGCACATTTCTGCCTCTCTGCTACCATAGATCTGATTTAACCACAAAAATATCCTATTAGGTTTTGCTATTATTATCATATGTTTATTATTATGTAAGTGGGGAAACCATTTTTTGAAAATATACATCTGGCATTTGCCCTACTCATTGAGTGGTCTGAAATGTCACTGTTAGGTGAAATTAGAATAGCCTGGGACAGTTTGCACTCTCAAACCTTGAAAAGAAAAAAGCTTGAGTTATAAGATTAACTATCTTTCCATTCTTTGTAGGTTTGGAAGGTTTGCAGTTGCTGCTCTTCAGTCCAAAGTAGAACAGTATGAGCGTGAAACCAATCGCCTCAAGAAAGCCCTGGAACGAAGTGATAAGTATATAGAGGAACTAGAATCTCAAGTTGCACAGCTAAAAAATTCAAGTGAAGAGAAAGAAGCTATGAATTCCATTTGCCAGACAGCACTTTCTGCAGATGGCAAAGGGAGCAAAGGCAGTGAGGAGGATGTGGTGTCAAAGAATCAAGGCGATAGTGCCAGAAAGCAGCCTGGCTCATCCACCTCCAGTTCTTCTCACCTAGCGAAGCCTTCCAGCAGCAGACTGTGTGACACCAGTTCTGCAAGGCAGGAAAGTACCAGCAAAGCAGACCTTAACTGTTCTAAGAACAAAGACCTATATCAAGAACAGGTAGAAGTAATGTTAGATGTGACAGATACAAGTATGGATACTTATTTGGAAAGAGAATGGGGGAATAAACCAAGTGACTGTGTACCCTACAAAGATGAAGAACTTTATGATCTTCCAGCTCCTTGTACTCCTTTGTCCCTTAGTTGCCTTCAGCTCAGTACTCCAGAAAATAGAGAGAGCTCTGTGGTCCAAGCAGGAGGTTCCAAAAAGCACTCAAACCATCTCAGAAAATTGGTGTTTGATGATTTTTGTGATTCTTCAAATGTTTCTAATAAAGATTCTTCAGAAGATGATATAAGTAGAAGTGAAAATGAAAAGAAATCAGAATGTTTTTCTTCCCCAAAGACAGGATTTTGGGACTGTTGTTCCACAAGCTATGCCCAAAACTTAGATTTTGAAAGTTCAGAGGGGAACACGATAGCAAATTCTGTTGGAGAAATATCTTCAAAATTGAGTGAGAAATCAGGCTTATGTTTATCCAAAAGGTTGAATTCTATTCGCTCTTTTGAAATGAACCGGACAAGAACATCCAGTGAAGCATCGATGGATGCTGCTTACCTTGACAAAATCTCTGAGTTGGATTCAATGATGTCAGAGTCAGACAACAGCAAGAGCCCTTGTAATAACGGTTTTAAGTCACTGGATTTGGATGGGTTATCAAAGTCATCTCAAGGCAGTGAATTTCTTGAGGAACCTGATAAGTTGGAAGAAAAAACTGAGCTAAACCTTTCCAAAGGTTCTCTAACTAATGATCAGTTAGAAAATGGAAGTGAATGGAAACCCACTTCTTTTTTTCTCCTCTCTCCATCTGACCAAGAAATGAATGAAGATTTTTCACTCCATTCCAGTTCTTGTCCAGTAACTAATGAAATCAAACCCCCAAGCTGCTTGTTTCAGACAGAGTTTTCCCAGGGCATTTTGTTAAGCAGTTCACATCGACTATTTGAAGATCAAAGATTTGGGTCATCTTTGTTTAAGATGTCCTCAGAGATGCACAGTCTTCATAACCACCTTCAGTCTCCTTGGTCTACTTCCTTTGTGCCTGAAAAGAGGAATAAAAATGTGAATCAATCAACAAAAAGAAAAATCCAGAGCAGCCTTTCCAGTGCCAGCCCATCAAAAGCAACTAAAAGTTGACTCATTAGAAAGGTGTCATTTGTGGTTTTGTCCTGAGAGAAATAGAAAAGTTGTTAAAGTTACCTTTTTTCCTCATAAAAGTTCTATACAAATTGGAATTGATAATCTTTAGTCAAGTATCAAGTCAGGATGGTGGATTAACCTGTACCCAGAATACTTATTGTTCATTTTGAAAAGACTTTGTTCTTTTCATTTTTATTTGGGAGTCTTTGTGACCAGAGAAGTTAGGGAGGAGGTTATTTTTGTGTTTTGGGGTTGGTTGGTTGGTTGGTTTTGTTTTTGGTTTTGTTTTTTTACTGAATTTGATATGTATCTCGGTTGGATATACATTGTTTTTTTAAAAAATGTTATTTAACTGTTAGATACAGTGGCCTGTTGATAAGCCCCACTTGTCTTCAGAACTTGGATTTCTTAAATAAAACTTTTAGTGTTGTCTATACACTGCTCAATAAGACACTTGAGTTTAAGCTTTTCCCAGGGTGGAAATTATTTTACCTGTCCCTTTTTATTTATGTTTAGTGATGGCCTAGTTTTTCTGCAGGGCCATGATGGAGAAATAGCACTCTAGCCTTAGTCCAATATTGATTTACTTTCTTTTTTTAGGTTTTATGTATATGTTTGCATTTTTTAGCATTGTGTTTTGTCCAGTTTTGTGAAAATGTTCTGCTAGTATGAAAGAAAACATTTTCTATATGAAGACATTTGTTTTATGTTAGGTAGCTTACATTTTCTCCTCTGCGTGTGTGTGTATGTGTGTAAAATCAGAAATTTAGCATACTATGGAAAGAAGGCATGGAGCACTTGGGTTTAGAGGAACCTAAAACATCATAGCTTCATTGTTCCAGATGTAACAGGTTTGAAAGAGCTCATCGCCAAGTTCTTGATCCACTTGCATTCCAGGGGAGTTTTCTTTTGAGTAGTATGTTTCTTGTTTGCATGTTCCTGTTCTTTGTGGAAACTATGCATGGTAGCATTTTTGCTTGCTGTGTTTTCCATACTTAAGAAAAAGAGGTTTCAGTTGGCTGATAGAATATCTTTTATGTAGGACAAAACTTTTCTGTGAAGAGTGTTGAGGGGGTGAAGATAGGTAAGAGGTAAGCACAATTTTTAATTTAGGCTCTGAAAAAGTGTATTGTTCTAAACGTATTTGGTATGCCTATATAGGTCTTTAAAAATGGGTATGTATGCTGTTTAATGTGCACTGAACATTTTACATTAATATTGTACTGTTTTACATTAATACTGCATGCTTTTCTATGTGAATTGAATAAAGAATGTCATAAGCACTGTGTTCCTTGATGTCGATGATGATTCTTTGTCTCGTATATTGAATTAGCCTATAAAGACCAGGAAAAACTACTTTTTTTTTTTTTTGAGACGGAGTCTCAATCTTGTCGCCTAGGCTGGAGTGCAGTGGCGCGATCTCTGCTCACTGCAACCTCTGCCTCTCAGGTTCAAGCAATTCTCCTGCCTCAGCCTCCTGAGTAGCTGGGATTACAGGCACCTGCCACCACACCCAGCTAATCTTTGTACTTTACTAATAGAGACAGGGTTTCGCCATGTTGGCCAGGTTGGTCTCGAACTCCTGACCTCAGGTGATTCTCCTTCCTTGGCTTCCCAAAGTGCTGGGATTACAAAAAACTACCATTTCTTAATTGATTTTATAATACATTGAAAAACTATGGTTCATGGACCAAATCTGGTCTGCGGCTATTTCCCAGGCTGGAGTGCAGTGGTACAGTTATGGCCCACTGCAGCCTCGGGTGGGCTGGGCTCAAGCCATCCTCCCCACTCAGTCTCCCACAGATCTGGGACTACAGGCATGCACCATGTCAGGCTGATTTTTTAGTTTTTGCAGAGACAGCGTCTCATTATGTTGCCCAGGCTGGTACTGAATTCCCAGGCCCAAGTGATCCTCCTGCCTCAGCCTCCAAAAGTGCTGAGCCACCACACCTGGCCAATCATAAAATTCAGTTTTATGCATTTTAATCTTTTTTAAAAATCTCCCTTGAAAGGCCTGTGAGCAAAAAATGGAATTTACAGTTGTAGAAGGTTTTTAAAAATCCATAGATTATTGCATAACACAGGAAAATTATATTAAAGTCACATTTCATTGTTTCTAAATAAAGTTACTTGAACACAGTTACACTCATTTGTTTACATATTACCTACAACATCTAAAATATTTACTATCTGGTCTTTTACAAAAAAGTTTGCCGACCCTTGTTATAATAGACTGAGGATTCAATGAAACCATAAAAGTGACAATTCACATTTGTAATTTGAAGAATCATGTCCTCCACTTATAGAAGTAATAGCCAGAGGCCGGCGCTGTGGCTCATGCCTATAATCCAAGCACTTTGGGAGGCGGAGGCGGGCCGATCACCTGAGGTCGGAAGTTCGAGACCAGCCTGACCAACACGGAGAAACCCCCATCTACTAAAAATACAAAATTAGCCAGGCATGGTGGCACATGACTGTAATCCTAGTTACTTGGGAGGCTGAGACAGGAGAATCGCTTGAACCCAGGAGGCGGAGGTTGCGGTGAGCCGAGATAATGCCACTGCGCTCCAGTCTGGGCAACAGGAGCAAAACTCTGTCTCAAAAAAAAAAAAAAAAAAAAAAAAAAGCCAGAAAGAGCTAATTTAAAGCAGAATTTTGTTTTATGTTACATATTTTCCAATCATTTTTCTGATATGTTAAAGCTAATGGATACATTCAGAGCTATTGGCACTTTAAATGTCTTTGATAATATGACTACACGTTAGAAACTCAAATATAGAAATTAAAATTTTTCTGCCACAGGTTAAATTTAGGGGTGGTATGATCTAAATCTGTGTTCCTCCAAATTCACATGTTGTAACACCCAAGGTAATAGTACTAAGAGGTGGGGCCTTTGGTAGGTGATTAGGTCATGAGGGCTTTGCTTTCTCTGAATGGGATTAGTGCCCTTATAAAAAAGGCCTGGGTGCCAGGCACAGTGACTCAACGCCTGAAATCCCAGCATTTTGGGATGCCGTGGCAGGCGGATCACGAGGTCAGGAGATCGAGACCGTCCTGGCTAACACAGTGAAATGCCATCTCTACTAAAAATACAAAAAATTAGCTGGGCGTGGTGGCGGACGCCTGTAATCTCAGCTACTTGGGAGGCTGAGGCAGGAGAATGGCTCCAACCCAGGAGGCGGAGGTTGCAGTGAGCCGAGATCGCACCACTGCACTCCAGCCTGGGTGACAGAGCAAGGTTGCAAAAAAAAAAAAAAAAAAAAATGCCTGGGGTAGTTTCCTTGCTTCTTCCGCCATGTGAGGAGGACACAGCTAGAAGGTAGCATCTTTGAAGCAGATACTGAGACCTCACCAGAATCTGCTGGTGCCTTGATCTTGGACCTCCCAGAACAATGAGAAATAAAATTGTATTGTTTAAAAATTAGTCCAAAACATTTCATCATGGCAGTACAGATGGATGAAGACAAGGGGTAAGCCTCATTGTACTTCTATCTGTAATCAAGGATGTGTCTTTTTAGTCCAAATACACACTGACACTGTGACATGGATATCTGGAGTGTGTAACCTGATTTACTAATGACTAACCTAGGTGAAAGCATCTATGTTGGACTAAGGTATTTTCCCACTGCTTATATTCAGAAACATCCCTCCATTCTCCCTAAAACAGTATTCCATGTATTAAATGTGTGCCATTTATTTAAAGGGTCTAATCTGTGTAGGATTTTATTTTAATCACACATTCTCATTTGTACTCTTTACCACTTTACCATAATGTGATGTCATGGTAAATATGGTGGTTTCATAGATTTTTAAATGTATCTATTATGTACACACACTCCAGGCAAAAACAAACAAAAAACAACCCTATCTTATACTAAAACTAAGTATCTTGCTAAGTTAACCTCTATTTCATCTAATTCCTTATTTCATCTAATCCCTTCTTAAAACTTTGTGAACCAAGTACTGTCGTCCCCAGTTTACAGAAAAACAAATCGAGAAAGAGTAATAACACAGCTGGAATAGATATGAACCATATCTTGGAGCTGGGTCTGTGGCTCTAGAGCTTCTGCTCTTCTCCCTTGTGTAATAAAGAATTCATATTTATAGACTAAAGGACAAAGGGCTTTGAAACTTTCCAAGAATTATTTTTAAAGTATTTTGGAAGTATTAACATGTTTATTTTTTATTTTTACATTTGAGACAGGGTCTCGCTCTTAAGCTGGAGTGTAGTGGTGCGAACACAGCTCATTTCAGCCTTGACCTCTTGGGCTTAGCATGTTTCTTTTACAGTAGCATTTAGTTCCTGAGTCTGACTACTAAACAGAAGCTCAACGGTGGGAGTTGTGTGTGTGCCACTTAATAGATTCACACTGACTCTGACATTTAGATTAAGTTAACCTTCCTGTCTTGGTTAATTTCACTAAGGCTATGATAGAAAAAGATGTACTCATGATAAGGAAGCAGACAGTTCATGTTTTTAGAAAAATATCTTTTGACTGCTTAAAATGCTTTGGCTATGGGAATGTGACAGGATGCTAGCAGTTTTGTTTGTTTTTTGGTCATGACTTAGTATTCATCTTTTATTTTTAAAATCATTCCATCCAAAAATGCCAAGTCTTTTTCCTGTTTTATGGAGTTAGCTGACACACAAAAAAAGAACATGGTACAGTAGTTTACAGTCCTTTAATTTCAAGTCGGCTTTGTTTCCCAATCATCTCTTGGCCATCTACATTGGTTTGAAAAGACTACTGAAAAAGACAACTTGGTCTTGAGTCTATGATGTTTCAGGAACTTCTTGTTTCTACTTGAATGGTTTTCAATGATTCAAAGTGAAATACATACACTAGATTTCTCCCCCTTTTGTGCCTTTGGATGGTATTTGTAGAGAGAATCAAACTGAGATTAACTGTTTATGGGATGTACTTTATTAGATTAGAAGGGTTTCCCAGAGCCTCATAAGAAGTTCTTTCATTCCCATTTGTGGGAGTCCTACAACACAGCTTTGGCCTATCACGATGTAACCTGATCCTTTTAATAATACTTGGCAGAGAAAACCTTTTAAGCAATGATCTGAGTGCACAGTGAACATTTATTGCCTAATTCTCGGAACCCCAGTCAGCTAGGAAGCATCTGTGAAGATGCAGATTTCTTTACAGAACCCACCTGGAGTGCAAGTTAGGGCGATCTTCAGTTTTATATGACTGAGACAGTCTAGAATGCCTTGAGTTGCAGCTCCACTTCAGAAACAAGGCAGATTCTTAGGCCTGCTATGTCTTTTTCTTGTCATTATCCTAGATTCTAAGTGTTGTGTCTTAATAAGGAGCAGACCTTCTCTAATAAATGTTAGCTTATTGGTGTGTAGAAGTGTGGGCCTTATGTGACGTTTGTAATTTGGGGATATAAAGATCCTTTTCCCAAGAGATATGGCTTGGCCCTTTACTGAGACTTACTGGGAGGTGGGAGGATGCAATTCTAATGCATTTTGATACTTACATTATTTGTGAGTAGAAAAATGCCCCTGTTGGGGATAGCGTGGAGCAGTGAGAAAGTCTGGCGTCTTCACAGACCTGTTACTCGTACTGGGTCTTGAAGGGTGAATAAGAGTTCTGCGCAGAAGAGGACACCTCTCCTGTGTGTCGGGCTGTGCTGAAGGATACGCCTATTTAGCCTGTGTCTCAGAAGAGGTGCTGAAGAAACCATTCCTTAACATCAGGGCTCCTATTTGAAAAAAGTTTTCCCGGATTGCTCCAGCCTGGGTTTACACGTTTGGCTTTGCTCCGCCTCCTCTCGGAGTCCCCAGAGGCTCTTGGGCTTGCCCCAACCTCCTGAGCCGGCGGCCTGATGGCGAGACAGTGGCTCCCTGGGCGCTGGAACGTTTAGGCGGTGGCGAGCTGGCCCATCATCTGTCCATTAAGACGAGACTTGACCTTTTGAGGGCAGGAAGGGGCGACCTCGCCTAACCCACCGGGTCATCTTTGTGTTCGGGTTGGGGAGATGGGGTCCGGCCCGCCAGCCTCGGCTCTGAGCCCTCTTCTGTCCCTGGGATTACAGCGAACTCGGCCTTCTCGGATTCCCGCCGCCGGTGCCCGCTCTTCCCTTCCCCTCTAGCCCCCACCGGACCCCCACTCCCCAGTCTCGGGAAGACAGACGCGCCCTAGCCCTTCCAGCCCGATTTTCCCACTTTCTCGGGGGCGCTCCGGGCTGGTCCCGCCCAAGCTCCACCCGAACGGCCCGCCCTGCGGTTTCCTTTCATTTTATTATTACTCGTGAAACCTGGCGATTAAGACGCGAAACCAACAAAGAGTTTTCTTTCCACCTTAACCTTGCACACAATCCTTTAACAAATTAATTAATCCTAATGAATTAACACTTCATTTATTTAAACGCGCTACAGTTCATGAATTAAATTTTCATGCAGTGATTAAAGGCTGTTAAAATATGCATGATTTCGTTAAAATTTTATAATAAATCAGGGCAATGTGTTACATGACAAGGCAACTATTTCCCAGTCCCTCGCAAGGGGCTTTGATTTGTGCGGGCGGCGGGAAGGAGGGGCGGCTGGCGGCGGCGCCGGCGAGCGTTGGAGCCGGGTGACAGGACCCAGCTCCGCACTCTCGGGTTTGGACTCGCGTCCTTGCGGTTTTCTCCACAGCTTCCAGACCCTTTTGGGGATCTTGCTCCTGGAGGCAGAGCGGAGCCTGCGGAGAGCGACAGGCACCCGCTTCCAGGTCCTCGGAGCCGCGCTTGTGGGGGCTGGGGGTCCCCTGCTGCCCATTGACTACCTCCACCCCGAGCGTCCGTGCGTTCTGGTGGCAGCAGACGGCAGGCGGCTATCCGCGGAGCAGGAAGGCGACAGAACTTCCTATGTCCTTGCGTGGGGTCATGGGCAGGCGTGTCTGTTGTGGAGTTTCGTTTGTTTGTTGTTGTTCTAACCCAGGACCTGGAAGCCCCTTCTCTGATCAGCGCCTTCTTCCAGCTTTGAATGCGGCAGGGCCCAGGCGGGGCGGGGACGTCTCTGCTCCTCCTGGGACCTAAATCACAGGAGTCCTTGGCCACGTTCAGCCATAAGACATTATTCACTTGGGCTGCGAAACTCCTGGCAACTATTAGGCAGGGGAGGCCCAGCCCCTGTTGGGACAGAGACGTAGTAGTCATGTGTCACCCGTAGGGCTTTCACAAGGTAGGTGGGTTTCATGTCCACGGAGAGATCAGGGTGGAGATATGTACATAGGTCTATATCTATAGATATAACGCCAAGAGTGACAATAGTCAGCAGTGAACTTTCCTGGGACGCATCATCTGGGTCTCTAGGTCATCAACGACATCTCAAGGTGGTCTGGTTAACGTCCAGGAAAATGTCCCCAAGGGAAGTTGCATTTAAATTAAACGACCAGACGAAAGAAAACTATATTTCCCACCAGTTTCCTTGAGAACCTCCTCTGCCGGTCCCAGCTGGAGCCCAGTCTGAATGCCTTAGAAGCAGAGATGACGACGGGCCCCAGTACCGCCAACCACTCCGGGCCTTAGGGACCAGAGGAGGAGAGAGGCCGAGGGAGCTCCGCAGTGCCAAGCAGAAAGGGAGGACGACGGTCTCCGGGAAATCTCCGAGCCTAAGCGACCCGGAACGTGGCCCGGAGAACTCCAACCTCAGCTCTGGGCTGGGTCCCGCGGGCCTCGGAGGGCAGGCCACTGCCCGGGATGGCCCCCAGTGAGGCCAGCGAGGAGCCCAGTAGCTATCGCCTGGGAGGTAGCGGACCAAGATGCGCGACACTGGGATCAAAGCAGCTCAGGCATGACCCTGGGAAGGCGGCCCAGAGGGGAAGCGAAAGTTCCACCGTCCTTTCTCCATTCCTTCCTCCATTCCACCCTTCAGTGTCAGAGCCCAGGGCGCCGGGACAGCCCAAGGGCAGCCCCTGTTCTGAGACCCGAAGATCTTACCCATATCCTGCTCCCCTGCTGTCTGCCCTTTCACATGTGCTTAAAACAACCTAAGTGGCCTCTAAAGCCAGCCGACCCTGGGCCCTGGGGGCTTCTCCTGCATGCAGGGCGCTGGCTGCGTGGTGAAATGTGCCTCCTTTCAAACTAAACAATTGCCTACGCACAATGTAGCTCCCCGAGTCTGCGAGAAACACAGCTCCGGCTTCGGCCACCAGAACCCAAGGTGGCCGGGCCTGCAAGTGGGGCCCGGTTTCCAGAAGGAGCGAGGGGCCCGGCCCCCCTCCCCTGTATACCCACTACCGCCACGCACTTATGTCGAAGTCCCTCAGACCCGATCCTGAGTCCCTAAACCCCAACAGACAACTCGGGTTCAACCCCTCGGAGGTGAGAAGGTGGGGCGAGTAGTGGCTGCGGAGTCAAATACTAACTTTCTCCGCACCCGGTCGGAAGGAGGATGTCAGTGCCCAGGTGGGCAGCAGCTATCAGGCGCGCTCTCCAAAAGTGGAGGATGGGAAGTTGGCGGTTCAGGTCAAAGGTGAGGAGCGTTCACCCCAGACAGTGCGGATCCTGGCACAAAACCTCTCCCGCCAGTCCTCACGCCAACCAACGAAGGTCTGCTCCCTTAGGTCGGGAAAAGGGCGCTGCCAAAGGAAACGGGAAGTGAGGCCTGCCAAAGGAGGAGGAGAAAATTAATTAATGAGGGAAAGAAATGTGTCTCTGATCCACATGATAGACTCCCTGTCCCTGGGGGCGGAAATTCCTTGGAAATCAATAGTTGTGCATTCATTATCCTTCTCTTGATAAAATGCAAAGCTATGAGATGAGGAGGAGGAGGAGATCTGTGTTGGTCATTAAATAAGAAGGAAAAAAAATTGCCCAGGAATCTATGCCAAGGCTCAGACCCCATGTGGGTATCATTAGCACAGGCAGGGGCCAACGAGTTACAGCAGTTGCCAAACCAGGAAAACAAAACAGTGACATATGGGTGAGCTGAGCCCAAGCCCACCACCTTTTCCTTTTACGCATCAGGAGGAAAGTAGGGAGAGGCTTGATATGGTCCAGGGAACTGCCTGCAGATGTGCCAGCATGCCCTATTCTTTAGCCTGGGCTGAGAACCAACGAGGATGAGGCATGATAACTGTCCAAGCATCACCCGCTCCATATTTCTATACACATCCCTCTCATCACACCTGTTATACCTGTGTCATAGATGCCTTTTATCCGTGGCTTCCCCACGCACATACACTGTCACCTCCTGCAGGGCAGGTACTCATATTGTATACCTCATTTTATCTCCAGTGTCTTGTACTGGGCCAGACTACCGCTCAGCAAGAATTTGAGGAAGGAAGATAAGGTAGCAAGTTAATGAGGGCGGAGTGAAATAATTGGCTCCTGAAAAAGAACAGGCTGGAATAAAAATTTACAGCTCTGCCTGGGGAAAACACACCCCTCCTTTTTAAGGAGAATGTAGACCCCCCCATCCCCCCACCCAGGGATCTTCCTGCAATCTCCAACCAGCCCTGGATTGTTGAACAGCCCCTAGGCCACCACCCCTCCCCCAGGCTACCCGAAACTGGCCTCTCTTCCTTCCTACACACGTGTTTTTTGGTGGGGTACTTTTCCTGTGACAAACTCTGCACTAAGTGCTATAGTGAAGATGGATGTATCCTAGATGGGCTTCCTATCCATGGTGGGAGGGGGAGGGAGGATTGTACCCATAGCCCTCATGTTTCTGGTCCCATCAAAACACCCAATACCCCAAGCAAAGATCTGGCCTCACCCCAAGGTGGGGTATTCCTGTTGTCGAAAGAGAGGTGAACAGGGAAGGAAATCTTGGTGGGACTAACTCCTAACTTCAGGCTAAGGTGGCATCTCTCCGCTGGGTTTAATGGAAGCCTCCCAGGGTTGGAGGGTGAACCGAGGTGCCTTTTGGGTACTCAGGAGCTCACCTGGCTCTCAGAGGCCCCACCCGGCCGCAAACCTGTACTGTTTACCTTTCTGTTGCTCCTGTACCCTTCAGGGTCCCTAAAGACCAGCGCTTCCTTGAGAGGGGAGGGGCAGGTTCCAGGCCCTCACCCTCTGTGGGGGCCTTTTCTTTCCCGTCAAGAGAGAGCGCAGGGAACGGCCACCAGGGGTGTCAGGAAGGACTAGGTTAAGCCCGGACTCCCGGTGTGATGACTACCGTAGGACTCACTCTTTCCCTCTAGCGACGTCCTGCTCATCGTCCACTCCCCGTTGAGATAAAGTTGCATTTAGCGCTCCCAGGGGACTGCGTAATGGATGGAACCAGCTCCTTCTCTCACCAGCAAGTGAACATCCTTCTCACTTCCCTCTGGAGCTAGAAGGAAGGGAGGGGGTGGGGGGGAACATGAAAAGAAAGAAAGAAAAAGCCATGGTGACGCCTGTGGGCTCTTCTTGGAATCTGAGTAGGTGAGTGGGTATGCTAAACACACATGCATTTGTGCAGAGGAAAGATAAAATCCACGGGAACGCAAATTTAGGTTTATAGAAATGAGATCTGCTCTTTGGTGGAAATACAGACTTCCTTGGTGTGGGAGAGAACAGAAAGATTATCTGATTTCTGCTTTCCATAAGCAGCCCCTTGCTGCTCTCCAGCTCTCTTACCGCAGATGTGATAACATCTGGGCTGTTAGGTTATTATCACCGCGAGCAAGTGCTCCTTCCCTGGGGACTTTGGCACCTGAACTGTGGCTCCCCTGGGAGGCTCTTGATCTGCTACCACATAAGGGCCATATAACAGGTTGGCTAATTGATTTATTCTTTTTAGGTCTTAATTTCACAATAATTTTTTAAAAATTTAAAAACTGGACCAGAGCTTGTCCCCGTTCTTTCAAATTGGCTTGATTTAATATTTTTGAATCAAGCTTTCCTGTAAGTTAGTTTGATCTGTCTCCTATTGAAAAAAATATATATAAGCAGGCAGAGATATGAGGCAAAAAGCCAAAAAGATGGAAGGGAAAAGAAAGTTCTCTTTTCAACATCTTATTCCCTTTTCTCTGAAGCAGTTTTCCTGGAGTTCCCAGCATAAAGTGTGTGTGTGTGTGTGTGTGTGTGTGTGTGTGTGTGTACGCTGAGGGGAGGAAGGATCCCAACTACACCCTGTTAACTGTTTTTTCCTTTTGATTACTAGAAGCCTTAGATCACCCGGAGCTCGTTTGAAACGTGGGTTTGTACACGGTTGAAGGAGACAAACAATAAGAGAAATGCACAATTTCATTTCAACAGCTTTTCCCGAGTAGAAAGCACACGCTCCTTGTGGCTCCTAAGTGGCTGTCACTGGCGGTGCCTGACACAGTTATATTCACAACAACAACAAAAAAGTATGCGGAGGAAATTAAATTATATGGAAATCAATAGCGTCTGACTGCTTCAAACAAATGTCTGTCACCGCGATTATTCTCCAGGAACCTATTTATAAACCTTTAAAGAAACAGGTTCTTGCAGCAAAAGACAGCACCTTCTGCATTTCTGTGTTGTTATTTATACTGTATACAGAGGAATGCGCGGGCATAATTTAACGTAGAAATGTCCAGCTGTATACATTATACAACAGCTTGTTAGGCATCCCGAAGAGGAGGAATGCCTAAGTAATGCTCATATATTCAAGGCTTGCTATCAGGGAGAAGAAACATACACACATACACACACACGCACGCACACACACACACACACACACACATAGAGGGGCGTGCGCGCATCTCGTCTTTTTTATTCTAAAAGGTGCCCACCCTTAGACAATAGCTGGACCTTCTGATCTTTCCAGACCACGGTGGGAAAGGTGAGGCGGGCAGTGCGCATGCCCGGGTAGCTACAGGTGCATCACCTGCGCTGTCCTTGCTGGTGGTCACTATAAGAGCGGCTCCCACGCGCTGGTCGCGGCCGGACGAGCGCGCGCGCGCGCAGACGCACGGGGCCGCCGAGAAGGAGAGCGCGCGTCAGACAGACGGAGACAGCTGATGCCTGTCAGCGCGGTGGGGCCGCGAGCTCTCGCGAGAGCTCCCCGGGACGGCCGCGAGAAGTGGGGCTCAGGTGTTAGAGGAGTGCATCCCGTCGGCGCGCGGGGCTAGAGCTGTCGGAGAAGCGGGACCGCGAGGCCGGCGCGCGGCGCTCTGCGCGGTCAGAGGGAGCGCCTGGCAGCAGCAGGAGCAGCAGCAGCAGCCCGCGGCGGGGCCGCCGCCAGCCGCCGCGACCGCCGCGGCTGCAGCCTCCGAAGGGAGGCCGGGTGAGCCGGCGTACGCACTTTCCCGCGGACTTTCGGAGTGTTTGTGGATATACATGCCAAGCCGCCACGATGATGTCCATGAACAGCAAGCAGCCTCACTTTGCCATGCATCCCACCCTCCCTGAGCACAAGTACCCGTCGCTGCACTCCAGCTCCGAGGCCATCCGGCGGGCCTGCCTGCCCACGCCGCCGGTAAGCGCCCCACGCCCGCGGCCCCGGCCCGCGCGCCCGCCCCTCCCCGTCTCCGAAACGCTGCATGTCGGGGGCTGGTGTGTGCAGGTCCCGGTGCGGGGAACTGCGGGCAGGGGGTGTAGAGCAGTCCCGCAGCGAGGCACGTTTTGTCCGGCGGCCCTTAATGTCGTGTTCCTGTCTGCCTCTGCCTCCGCGTCAGGCGCCTGCGATCGGAGTAGGGAGCGCTGGGGCCAGGACTCTCGACTTCCCTCTACTTTCTCTGTTAATTTCACGCCTCAGAAAGGCAGTCTCTGTGCGTGCTCGGGTGTGTGACACGGGTCCCCAGCTGCGAGTTACATTTCCATTTCTTCTTTTCCCTCTTTTTCGTCTCCCACGCCCGTTTCCGGAATGTGTTCTTGTGTCCCCCTTTCTCCCTACTTCTGTCCCCCTCTCCACGCTCCCATCCCTTCTCGTCTGCCCCCTCCCTGGTCGTCAATGTGCCCCCTCTCCGTCTTTCCCGCTCTCCACTGCCCCCAAACCCGTTGTTATTTTGGTTGCTTTGTGTTTGCCCTTCGCATGCTGTGCTTTCCGGCCTGTGTGTGTGTTTCTTCTGTTGTTTTGTTTTGCTCTTTTGGTTTTGTGGTTTTTTTGGTTTGGTTTGTGTCGCCTGCAGCTGCAGAGCAACCTCTTCGCCAGCCTGGACGAGACGCTGCTGGCGCGGGCCGAGGCGCTGGCGGCCGTGGACATCGCCGTGTCCCAGGGCAAGAGCCATCCTTTCAAGCCGGACGCCACGTACCACACGATGAACAGCGTGCCGTGCACGTCCACTTCCACGGTGCCTCTGGCGCACCACCACCACCACCACCACCACCACCAGGCGCTCGAACCCGGCGATCTGCTGGACCACATCTCCTCGCCGTCGCTCGCGCTCATGGCCGGCGCGGGCGGCGCGGGCGCGGCGGCCGGCGGCGGCGGCGCCCACGACGGCCCGGGGGGCGGTGGCGGCCCGGGCGGCGGCGGCGGCCCGGGCGGCGGCCCCGGGGGAGGCGGCGGTGGCGGCCCGGGGGGCGGCGGCGGCGGCCCGGGCGGCGGGCTCCTGGGCGGCTCCGCGCACCCTCACCCGCATATGCACAGCCTGGGCCACCTGTCGCACCCCGCGGCGGCGGCCGCCATGAACATGCCGTCCGGGCTGCCGCACCCCGGGCTGGTGGCGGCGGCGGCGCACCACGGCGCGGCAGCGGCAGCGGCGGCGGCGGCGGCCGGGCAGGTGGCAGCGGCATCGGCGGCGGCGGCCGTGGTGGGCGCAGCGGGCCTGGCGTCCATCTGCGACTCGGACACGGACCCGCGCGAGCTCGAGGCGTTCGCGGAGCGCTTCAAGCAGCGGCGCATCAAGCTGGGCGTGACGCAGGCCGACGTGGGCTCGGCGCTGGCCAACCTCAAGATCCCGGGCGTGGGCTCACTCAGCCAGAGCACCATCTGCAGGTTCGAGTCGCTCACGCTCTCGCACAACAACATGATCGCGCTCAAGCCCATCCTGCAGGCGTGGCTCGAGGAGGCCGAGGGCGCCCAGCGCGAGAAAATGAACAAGCCTGAGCTCTTCAACGGCGGCGAGAAGAAGCGCAAGCGGACTTCCATCGCCGCGCCCGAGAAGCGCTCCCTCGAGGCCTACTTCGCCGTGCAGCCCCGGCCCTCGTCCGAGAAGATCGCCGCCATCGCCGAGAAACTGGACCTCAAAAAGAACGTGGTGCGGGTGTGGTTTTGCAACCAGAGACAGAAGCAGAAGCGGATGAAATTCTCTGCCACTTACTGAGGGGGCTGGGAGGTGTCGGGCGGGACAGAATGGGGAGCTGAGGAGGCATTTTTGGGGGGCTTTCCTCTGCTTGCCTCCCCTCGGATTTGGAGTGTCCGTTATCCTGCCTGCATTTGGGGAGTCCCTTCTCGCTCTCTTTCCTCCACCCATTCTCTGATTTTCCTGCCTTTGCTGTCCCCTAGCCTTGAGGACTGGGGTGCTGGGTGTGGGGATTGGAGTATAGGGTAGGGGAGAAGGGGGGGAGCATTCGGGGGAGTGGGGAGTGGGGGGAAGGAAAGCGGAGACCCGAGCAGGGGTTTTAAGGAGCAGGATGGTTCTGGGGTTTGGGTGGGGGGAGACGCGGGAAGGGTAGGAAAATGGACTGTTTCTGACCAGAGACACTTACCTAAATATCCTGGGGACCAAGGAACTATGTACAAAAACAAACCTACCAACCACCAAAAACTAGACAAATAAAGACAAACTAAAACAAAACAGAACAAAAGCAAAGGAAAATGCTTTAGAAATTTTAACTCCGGGGAGCCATAATCTGCAACTTCATTTTCCCCCATAGAAGAGAAAAAAGAGCACCACCATTATTACCACCTCCCCAACCCTACACGCACGAACTGAGTCGAAAAACGAAAACCAAACGAGCGAGAAGTTGAAGTTCTGGGTATCAAAGCTAGTTGTTCTGTCTGCGTGTTTAATTTTTCCCTCTCTCACCTCCACCCCATCCATATCCTCTTTATTTCCTCCGTTCCAATGAGAGGCCTATGGCTGCTCTCCAATCCCGGGAAGTGAGTGGGAGCACAGCTGAAAAGAGAGGGTCAGGGGGAGGCTGGCTGCTTGCTTAGGTGGAATCCAAGTTTTCCCGTGGCCCTGCCTATACTCTGGTGGCCTGGTCCTGTTGGGGTGGGGGTCTTTGGAGAGAAGGGCATAGTCTTTGAGCTACTAAAAAGCAGAATTCCGGAGCTTCGAGATATCTTATTCTAGGAAAATGAAACAATTTTAACAACAGTTTTTTTTCCTCTTATGTCGAAGATCTAGTTTTAGACAATTTCAAAATAAGCTTTTCCCACTCATAGAACTTTAACTTGCCCTTTCAGTTTTATCTTTTTTTTAGAGAGAGGTTTAAACTACTGATTTTTCCTGTTGATTCAAATAGACTAATGGGGTGAAAGTTATTAGGAGAGATACTCTCTCCTGTTTTCTCCACTGAACGAGACTCATCTTGCTCTTCTAGGTCCCGTTTCTTCCTCTCTTGGAGGACATGAAATTATAGAAATGTTGAGAAGTTCCTGCTTTCTTTTGCGGTAGGACTTGGCTGTGAGAAAATCACCTAAATCCCAGAAAAGAGGAAGACAGATTTAAAGTGCCCCCACCCCCATTTGTTTCAAAGAGGTCTGCATGTTGGGCGAAAACAGAACAACTGTGTTTCCTTTTACTTGTTCTTATTATTCAAGAGTCATTTATTACAGGGGATAAATGTTGGGTAGCAAGAACTTTAATTTGCACTACCAGTCTCCCAAATAGAAAATCATGTATAGTATTTCATAGTAATAATCAGGTACCTTACAAGCTGCTGGTGGATTTTAAAAAATTAAGATAGTTGAAGGTGGTTAGGTAAAATGCCTGCTTTGTGTACAAGATACTCTTTGGATCTCTCGTAGAGATGGTTTGTTACCATCCTTTAATCATAACTAAAACATTGAAAACAGAACAAATGAGAAAAGAAAAAAAACCTGCCGATTAACAAGACTGAAATCATGCATGATCTGAAAGGTGTGGAAAGAAACACAATTAGGTCTCACTCTGGTTAGGCATTATTTATTTAATTATGTTGTATATCATTGTTTGCAGGGCAAACATTCTATGCATTTGAAACTGAGCACTAAACTGGGCTAGCTTTCTGGTAGACCGTTTTGTGGCTAGTGCGATTTCACAGTCTACTGCCTGTTTCCACTGAAAACATTTTTGTCATATTCTTGTATTCAAAGAAAAAGGAAAAAAGATTATTGTAAATATTTTATTTAATGCACACATTCACACAGTGGTAACAGACTGCCAGTGTTCATCCTGAAATGTCTCACGGATTGATCTACCTGTCCATGTATGTCTGCTGAGCTTTCTCCTTGGTTATGTTTTTTCTCTTTTACCTTTCTCCTCCCTTACTTCTATCAGAACCAATTCTATGCGCCAAAATACAACAGGGGGATGTGTCCCAGTACACTTACAAATAAAACATAACTGAAAGAAGAGCAGTTTTATGATTTGGGTGCGTTTTTGTGTTTATACTGGGCCAGGTCCTGGTAGAACCTTTCAACAAACAACCAAACAAAAAGAAAACACAAAGAAATGGGGGGAGGGTAGGGTGTTGAAGGGGGACAAAAAGGGGAGAGATTGAGAATGATGTATTTTTTTGCTGAATCAGAATTCACTTTCAGATAACTCATGAAAAGTGGTGCTCTAAATAAAATGAATTCTATATTAGTTGCCTGTGTTTATAAAAGTTATTATTTTTTAACTGCAGAAACTCTTAAACCACAGCACTTGATCCAGAGTGGTGAAAACCAATAAATAACCAGGCACCCAAAAAACATTTAAATTTAGGGTCAGGGACAGAGGAATTTGGAGGTTTAGATGTGATATTCTACCCTAAAAACACCTAGTAACTGAATGGCTTTTCTTTGGAGGGTAATACATTTTAAAACATTTAGTGTGCCACCTACTGCTCCACAGTGACTAGAGAGCCTCTATTTCTTGGTGACTTGGGACTAGATCAGATGCCAAATGTACAAAGTTTCTTAAGAGTTGAGATTATATCATCTGAAGTCATCTTATTTTAGCCAAATCTTTTTAATTTCACCGGCAAATCTGTGAAGGAAAACACTTGATGTTCAAAAAGAATAGTACATTTTAAAAGCTGCGATTTTAAACAGTTGTTAATGTTAAAAAAAAAAAGCACTAGAGGTATTTTTAAACATAGAACTCTTCCATAAAAAGTTGATTTGTTTTTGCTGTTATTGACTTGAAACATCATCAGTTTTAAATAAAATGCATTTGTAAAAAAACCGTTATTTTATAGAAAAGTATGACTGGATTTCATTGTTGGAAAAACAGGACAGAACAAATGAAAAGATTTACAAAGGGTTTTTTTTAAAGTCTGCCTCAAGCAGAAATGTTGCAGGCAAACACATGTGTATTATATAATAATGATCAATGTAGGTATTAAGAATTTAAGAATTTGCTTTAAATAAAACCTTTACCACATAAAAATAAGAGTATTATGTTAATAAAACATCATGAAAATGAATTTCCTATTTTATGTAGTAGGAAACTGTGCAAAACAAAAAAAAATGCTTTGCTTTCTGGTAAGCGAATCTATATATGGCTTGAAGGAGTAGTAAGACTATTCTAAGACGCCTTTAACTGTCAATCCATGAAAAAAAAACAAAAAGGGACCTCCTGAAGAGGCCAAACTATCATTGAAGTGGGTGTCAATGAGTGATAGTTTGGCCTTTCAAAGTTTTCTAGTTCTGAAGAGAAGTTCACTCTAAGCGGATTCCTCCACCAGTTTTGGGGTGAATATGATAAAATGTGTGTCTCGGATTCTTTTAAAGAATAATCTCAAAATAAGTTTGAGAGAGTGGGAAAATTGGGCTCCGTTTGCATTTCAGCTTCTCAGGAAATCCAGGCGGCGGCGGGGGTGGAATAGGAAAAGCAAAAGACAAATAAGCATTAAAGCATCTGCCACATTTATGCCATCCATTTGTCTTAAATTTCCTCTTTTCCCCAGTTCTAGCTCCAGGTCGTGTTCCTTCTGTAGGTCTAAAAAAATTATGTCCTCAAGACCCATCAACTAACTTCTGAATAATTTTTGTTTAATGCGTGTTCTGAAATTGCTCTCAACTTCGATTACAGTTTCATAAATAAACTGTAGGCACCCACTGCCGTGATTGTATCGATTTTTGTTTTCTTGTGATACTGAGACTACTTCGGTCCAGTTCCTCCTACACGTGGCAGCGCACGTGAGAGAACAGGGCGCCCCAAGCCCGCAGGACTCACTCAGCGATCCCTGCCCTCTGCCTCTGCCCCGCCGCCCCGGCCTCTCCTGATAGCACCTGGCACCTGCGTGAAGTATCCCTACTCATCTTTCAAGTTGATAGGCTTTCGCAGTTTTTCGTCCGTGAAGTTGGAACTGGGGCTTCTGATCCTGGCTAAAACTAGCCTTTCCCACCCCATTCGAACGGCCTTGGTGGCCAGCGGGATGATAAAGGTGATGACAATTAATACTGGTACAGTTCTGCCATCGGTGTTATTGCCATCTCAGTCTTAGCGCCACGATGATAGCCACGCAGTCCTTTCGAGCTGTTTCAAAAAAGACCGCAAGCTTAATTGATTTTTTAAAATAGCAGCCGAATTCTAATTCTCGCGAGGTCCTCTTTTCCACTTGTGAGATAAGCCTTGTCGCAAACATTACGTTATTTAATGTTTGATCAAACCTTCCTGCCACCGCGGCTTCTGGCGCGGGGCTGGCTCACGGGGCATCGGGTGAGCTGAGCGGCCAGAGCCAGCCCGGCGCGCGTGGGGAAGGCGCGCGGCCGCCCCGCTCGGGTTGGCTTACTCTTTGAATAATTTATGGTCGGAGAGTTCTGGAAATAAAATGAATTATAACAAGGAGCTAATTAAAAACTTTCGTAATTGTTGTCAAGTCAGCTTTACGGGAGGACGGGCAGCCCCCCGATTCCCTCCCCGAAATCCGGTGGATCTGCAGGGCGGGGCGCGGATCCGGAGGCTGCAAACTTCAGCAGCCCAGCGCTGTTCCGACTCCGGGAGTTATTCTGGAGGCCTCCTCGTGGGGCAGCTCCCTCTCCAGCTGCACTCCGCAGCTCGCAGGTCTCCAGGGCATAACTTTCAGACTTCGGGGCGGGTGGGTCGGCGTGTGCAGTTTCAAACCATCGGCAGAGCTGATTGGGTTGAATTTGAAGCCAGGAGGGGACCCGCCCTCCCCTCACTCACTCAGGGTTCTCGTTCACTCACCCACCCAACCCAGGCATCCCAGGGCCTTCAAGGGCACCAGCCGCGGTTCTCCGGGTGGCGGCGAAGGGACCGCCGCTCATCCTGCCTGCATCCCTCCGCCGCCTGCCTGGAGAAGCAGCAGCCCACAGGCTTCCAGCTGCCCGAGGTCGCAGCTCCGCTCGGACTGCAGGACAGCTACCGGCCTGAGGGCCCTGGCGTGGATTCGACTGTGCCGGGGAGAACCCGAGGTCAACGGCCTTAGGCCGGGGCACCCGGCGCGCGTGCGCAGAGTGGCCAGCGGGTGCGCACCGCGGGGAGCCGGGAAGGAAGAGGCGCGCTCTGAGCGCTCAGAGCCCGCACATGCGTATTGGCGCGCGCCTGGTCCCCTCGGAGAAGTGGGCCGAAGTTCCGCGGCTCAAAATTAGGCGCTCCCGGAGGTCACCTCCAACTCTTACGTGCCCTTGAGGACGTTCTGAGAGAAAAGGGATGGACCAATATCTCAAAGCGGTTAAAAAAACCCTCTCCCCAGTTGCATAAGTCAACAGTCTCAAGCACCACAAAACTTTCACAACTGCCGTACACGTTTTAAAAAGAACTGGAAGGCATACGAGGTTGGTTTTTGTTTTGTTGCTAAGATGCATATTACCAAAACCCTGCTACAGATTTGAATTTATCCGGCAGGGATTTATACCCGGGGCGAAATGCAGCCTGGCCGCTAGGCTTTCGTCCTGGGGAATTCAAGTGGAATCCTGAATCGCAAAGCTGAAATTGAAAATCTCGGTTCGGTGAGAAGCCGACATAGCCCTAGTGTTGAGACCAGCATCCTGCTCCGGCGAACCAAGGGCTGGAGAGAAGAAGCGCCCGTGTCCCAGTCCCCTCCCCATTGGCGAAAGACAGCTGCTTTCCGATTGAGGAAAAAAAAAAGCGTGGAAGGAAAGTTGTCAAAAGGAGTGGTGGAGGAAGAGACTCCTCGCATTGATCAGGTAAAAGGAATTACAAACAAAAGTTTGTTTGATAACTCTTACGCCTGGCCTCAGTGCAGTATAATATATACAAACTTTTGTAGACATAGATTAGAATAAAACAAAGTGTTGTCAATTTCCAGCCGTGGAAATTCACTTAAACCAGTTTCTCCTTCTCCCCGCCCCCACCAAATGTTGACAATAAACATTTTAATGAAGGCAGAGACCTGGTTGTCTCCAGACAGTGTCAGAATACTTTAAGCAGGCCATTAGCACGGCCTCTTCCACTTCAAACATCGCGGTACACTCTAAATATATATATATAACTACGTGTGAGACAAATAATACAATCGTACGGATATCTTAAGTGGTCTGCAGTAGTTCTGATACCCCCTGTCCTTACTAACAGAAAACTAACTCATTGCAGATTACTCGCGCTTAAAAAATGTTAAATACAGTTAATGCAATATTAATCGCCCTTTGGTGATATAAAATGCAATATTTTCAGGCAGCTATTGAGCTTTTCTAGAAGAAGAGCTGATGAAAAGAGTCACAGCTGAATAGTGGAGAGAAAAAGCCCGGTATTTATTGCTTTTGTTTGGCTTTTGGCTACAGAGACAGGAACCTTCTAATGGGGTAAGGACATTTATTTTATCTGCAATCTATTGCTGCGAGAGCAGGGGCGGCAGATGGGGCTGGTACGATATTCACAGTGTAATTTAGAGCAAATCCTAATAACTAATAGTGATTTATGTTAATTTTGATCACTTATGTGACTTCACCATAGCGTTGTGTTGAAAGAAAGAGAGAGAAAAAGAAGCTGAATGTGACAAGGAGCTCTGAGGCTGACATTGGGGCTCAACTGTCCTGCACTTTGCACAATCGTAAAATGTGTTGTATGAGTTAGCAATGGAAATGCAGGCATTTAAAAAAGCAGGTAGGATCCATTTGACTCTGGGCAGAGGTATTTCCCGAGGGCTTGCGTTTCTTCTGAAAATTTATCTTAATGTGACGGACTGTGACGCCTTTGAGCGACAGACGCTTTCATCCCAGTTTTAAATAAAACAGATTTGTTTCAATTGTTTCATTTGCTTATATTAAACTAAGGGATTGTGTGTGTGTGTGTGTGTGTGTGTTGACTGTGGGGAGAGGGAGTCCATTGTATTCGACGCGGGAGTGCGCGCCGGGGTCTTCTTTCCAAAGTGTAATCTGAACCGGAGGCTTGAAATCAGCCTTAGAGCCAAGAAGCGGGCTCTCTCGCGCACCACTGCCACGCCTTATGCAAAAGTTTTAATACTGGCTGCTTAAGCAAGTTGCCGGTTCCTAATCTTCACCTGATATTTGTTTGCCCAGAATCAACTTTGGAAAGCTTTCCGGTCCCTACCTCCATCTTTCCCTTCTCCCAAGGGATTCCAGGGCTTTTAAACTTAAAAGTGCCTCCTTTCTCCTCACTCCCCTGGTATTGTGGCACCGGTTCAGAACCCCAGGGGCTGCCAACGGGACGTGGTTCTGCACAGGAACAGGGAGATTTTCGGCTTCCACGCAGTGCACTCAGAGGGTTGGAACGGTTTTGAAAGGGAGGGTGCGCCTTGCTCGTGGCAATTTGCTTTTCCAGTTACCTTTTGCACGTTTTAACGCCTTGGGGCTATAGTTTGAAAGTAAAACAGCATCAAAGCACCTCCTTATTAGTCCTGTATTTGAGAAATCCGAAGATGAAACTACCTAAAAGGTTTAATAGGGCGGAACAGCATTTATTTGCCAAGCAAACAGCTAGAGTACAGTTCAAAAGGGGTACAGTGGTTTATCAGCAGGAGGCTGGAAGGAGAAGAACATGGGCAAAGCGAATTTCAAGCTTCAGTTACGAGGTTAAAGTGAATTAAATAACCTTAAAGTGTGATATATGCTTTGATTTTGAATATCATTTCCCTCGTCCCAAATTTATATACGTATATATACAAATAATACATATACAAATACACACGTGAGCGAGCGCGCGCACACACACACACACAAACACACACCCCTACCCCATCCTAGAGTTTTTTTTCCCACCTTTCAGAGTTGTCAAGACTTTTTGTTTGTAAACTTTCAGATTTTGCGGAATAAGATTGATTACCTCTCGATGGATTTGACCTGTAAATGCATTTAAAGCACGATCACATTCTTTAACGTTAAATTTTCATTACTTTCTTCCTGTTTTTCTTGTTTTGAGGCTACGACAGATGTAAAAATGCACCTAATTTCTTCTACTAGAGAAAAAATCAAACTACATGATTCAGAGCAGTGTCTTTCTAAATATGATGCTGCGTTTTGTTTTTGCTTTTTAAATCTCCTCTATCAGTAACTGAACTGTTACTGCAATGCTAGTATTCTGGGTATAAAGAAGACTTTAAGCAAAATAAATCTTTAAACAAAATAAATCCAGGCAGCTGACATTGCCTGTTTACTGATAATACTCAGGAGCTGGTGTATGTTTGTGAGCTTGAAGCTGTGCCTCCACGTGCATATCCATATACAAACAGATGTAAGCGCATTTTTTACTGTTGCTGTTGAATGTAACTGAGTCTTATTGCTAAACTTTATTCTGGTTCTGTCCCAGTGTTTCAGCACCAGAAGCAACTCCCTTAAAATTGAAGAGTGGTGCATTATTGAAACTCTCTATCAAACAGCTCTGGGGTTCAGCCTTTCTGAAAATGCTGGCTCTCGATGAGGTCTGACTGTCTGACTGCACATAAGCCCCTAATATGTTAATGGCCGTAGGGGATGCCTAAGGTACTATCTCAAGCTGCTTCGCACACCATATGTCAGGCCGTTAGCCACATGGATCTATTAATCAAAAAGAGCTGGAGAGGAAAGAGAGGGTCTTCAGAAGGGGGGAGAATGAGAGAGATGGGGGAGGAGGAGGGGAAAAGAAAAAGCATTTAAAACTCACATGTCTTCATTTTTTAAATAAAAAATGAATAAAAATATCTAAAGAAGGCTCCATCAATAAAATTTCTTTGCTGTCGAGTTAAAGACTGTTCATAAATGTCTACTAAGTAATTAGCATAGCATTTGGTTCTACTGAAATAGATGGATATTTTACCTGAAAGGTCTTATTTGGGTTTGCTTTATTGCAAAACTTCTATAGGCAAGACTCTGATGGCACAAAAGTTATTTTTGTTATGTACATTGTTTGGTAAATGTGCTTTATTAAAAGTAGTGGGAGGAGAATACGGAAATTGTATGTTTAGGGGATGTAAGAAGGTCATGGAGGGAGGTGCCTGGGGGATTTGTAATGAATATATAATTATTAATATATATTTGCATGGACAGTAGAGTTTTCACTTTTTTTAGTTCTTCTGAGAGTAAATGTAATGTGTTAAGATTTTTGTTTCTTCCTTTAGGCTGGCTTTTTGATAAATGAAACTGCAAAATATACAGGATAGAAAATAGTACTTAATTTTTTTAGAAGGAGAAGAAATGAGAAAACATTAAAAGTTCCATCTTTTTCATTTCTTTGTTGTTTAGTAATATCTCTTGCCTTTGAGTGTTTAAAATTGTTTTCAGTTAAATAACTAGTTTAGAAAGTTTGCACAATATTAGATGTAATTATATACTCAGCATGGAGAGGGCATGAATGAGTAAGTATACTAAGTGTGTAAGAAAAATATTTGAATTCTTTCTTGAAATAATGACCATATTTGTCATGTGTCTTAAACTAATTCTTTTTAGAGAAATCAAGTGGAAGTACAGATTTTAAAATATCAGACCTATATCAGAAACAGAGCAATGAAAGGAAAACATATAGGTTCTTGGATTTAAAAGTTACATTCTTTTCATGTGCAATGCTACCTGAGGATAGAGAAAATATAAAATAAAAAGTCAATTCAAGCATATTTACTTATTGTTATAATTGGCAGTAAGTGATGATGGGCCACAAGAATACTTTTTAAGTTTAAAAATCTATAATTATTGATAGCATTTAAGAAAGAATACCCTTGAAAATGACTTTTTAATATTGTCATAATTAGTAGGCTTACACTGCAGTAGTTAATTTGTAAGATAATAGAATTATTGAAAAGTTTATTGACCTTAGATTTAAAAAATACATATGTAAATGTTGACTACTTATATATATTGAGAACACAGATTATTCACTCACCCCATACGCCCTGTGTCATTAACAAAGACTGATAGTGCTCTATTGTATTGGATATGTAAAAGAGACAGGCAGCAGAATGTTTTTATGATTCAAAAATACATTAAAGAAGATAATTGTGTTAGAAAGTGCAAGATTACTTGAAAAAAGATAACTGTGAAATTGTACTCAATAAGAAACAAAAATTATATAGTGCGATCTATTACAATATTTACAGTATAAAAGTGGAGTACTTTGTACTATGTATTAGATGGGAGGTATTAAATATTCTTTATTTTCACAAGGGAACCTGTCTGTCTTTATATAGAAGTAAGTGCTCAGTTACAGGGACAGGTTAATATTGAGAGGTGTTTTTAATTAAAAACACCACTGCTTTTGGCTAGTAAATTATCTGTGACTCTTTTAGTAAAAAAAAAAAAAAAAAAAAAAGATTTTAAAAATAGAAAATTGTGTTGTAGAGAACTGTAGTCAATCTGTAAATATGACAGATTCTAAAAGTCAATCTGTAAATATGACAGATTCTAAAGCACTATATTTCATCCAGGAGATGATGAATACATGAAGAAAGAATCATCCTGAATTTCAACAGTAGCAGGTAGGGAGAAACACTTATTATCTTTAAATTTTGGTGCATGCCATTAGCCTTCATTTCTTTCCCTGTAGTTAAAAGGTAGCCCATATATCTGTCGCTTTGGGTTTCCAAAGACTCATAACTTAATTCCTTCAGGCTATTCATCAGCACAGTAATTAAACTAGCAAATGGATGTAAATAAAGTGAAATTGGTTTCATGACAGATGAGGCGAAGAGGCCTCTGACATGAAACAAGGCAGGACAATAATGATTTCAGCAGCATCAGGCCATGGAAGGAACCCCAGCTGGATTTATTAGGTGCTGCAAGTGATTTGCTAGAAGCGGGCAAGACATGAGCACTCTTTAATTTGACAGGAATTTTGCATCCTAAAGAGCATATTGAAATATAAATTCAGAAACAAGTTCAGGCAAACTGTAAACAGATGTATTGTTAGACTGAAGATACTACTCAGTATTTTAAAAGGAAGAAGAAAAGAGAACGACATCCCCCTCCCTAATAGAAGAGCTTCATTTTCACAATTTATTATTTAATTGTGGGTAGTGGCAAAATAATTATGAAACATTTCGTTCTACTTAGTGAATTCTGTTACTATTAGATGGTTAGTAATTTTGGATGTCCAGGTTTATTTATCAGGAGAGCAACCAAAGCAATAGATGATTTAGAACCCAGCACAAGTAAAACATTTGTACAAATTAGCAGTACATGCATACATGGGAGAGATATATGGCAAACTGGGAGAGAAGCTTGGATGGACAACTTATTTTACAGAGTGGGATTATTATTGTATTTAAATAAAATCTAGGATAAAAATCTGGCACCACTTTATTGCCTCTAGCGGTTTGTGCCTGGATACCCAAAGAACAAATTTCTATCTGCAAAGAGAAATTGTTTCAAGCCCTTGATCAGATGAATTCTTAAAATGAAATATAGATTTGTCCCTGCAAAATAAGCAGTTCCATGAACTAGAGGGAACCAAACTATAACTGAAAAATCACAGAATAAGAGAAGAAGGTGTAAGGAATGGATTCTTGGCTGGCTCCACAAGAGTCAAATGAAAATTGAGTCACTATTCCACTACAATAAGGAAGTTACACATAGAATAAATAAAAGGCAGATTTTCACACTAGGAGCAGATCAGTCCCTTTCTCCATGAAAAGATGAGAAATGAACTGCTTTATGTTTAAATGTAGTCTCAATTATTTAAGCTTCCTTTCATGAAGAGCAAAGATAAGTAACTCCTCCAAATCCTCCATTAGTGGTGCCCTCCCTTTTCACAAGAGTCACGCAAGGTTTTCAGCACCGCGGCCAGCTCCAGGGAGGGTCAAGGGGAGAGCGGGCGGGAGAGCAGCTATTGACCCAGGAGAGGTGAAACCTAAATACTCCTAAAAATCTACCGGCGATTTAATTATTTAGCAGTGGATTCTGATCTTCTGTGGGATACTAAATAAAGCCTAAGTCCTCAAATATTTTAGAAAGTGATGTTTCATAGGAAAGTGAGGAAGAGGCATGGGGGCATGGTGGGGGCTGGGGTAGAGAAAGAGCAGGTTATCAAAATTCTTAATGAAAATAAAACCTGAAAAAGGGAGA
The DNA here is from genome assembly GCF_000001405.40 of Homo sapiens. Classification (NCBI taxonomy): domain Eukaryota; kingdom Metazoa; phylum Chordata; class Mammalia; order Primates; family Hominidae; genus Homo; species Homo sapiens. Next base: position 78,589,130 of record NC_000013.11, on the reverse strand, counting down.
GAGAAAGAAAAACACCCACTGAATGCTACCTCCCTTCTAATGGTGGGTGACTTTCAGGCCAAGAAGGAATTTATTATGAAACTCAACTGGTTTTCTCCTTGAGCCTGCTCTTTAAAAAAAAAAAAAAAAAAAAAAAAAAACAGGAAAATATGCCTAATTATTTTAAAGTTCCTTTCCAATCGCAAGGCATAGCTAAGTCCTTTAATTATAATACAGTATGAATAGGGGGAGCATATGGAGGAGAATGTCAAGAAGAGGGTGCCAGGGGCAGATCCTCAGAAATCTGTATTCATTTCTGGCTCTTATTTGTTCAGTAATCTCTACCATCATAACTAAATCTTGAACCACTGATGTAGTTCGAGTTGTTGTTGACTTAACGTCAAAATTCAATCACTGGGGGTTTTGCATCAGCCGGGCTACTTATTTGTCTAATAAATCCGTCATTTTGTAAGAAAAATATTTGAGCAGCCGTACTTGACCTCTTGGTATCCACAAGTCACATTTATTTCTCCCAGTTTACAAATGCAAAATCGAGATGAACGTCTAATGCCTGGAGGAACTGTGTTGATTTCAGATTGGATTTTAGATGGAAATGTCTATTTTAAATACCTTGTGATTAAATTGTACATATAATAGGATCCATGCATTTTTAACTGGTTCCTGCTTGGAAACTTAACAACCTGGACTGCAAATCACACATACCAATGCCAAAAGGAAAACACACACACACACACACACACACACACACACACAACCGAACCCACCCACTTTTCTCAGACAAATACTAAAATTTAGCCTCAAATGCAAGACTTTATTAAAACAAGAGTTTTTTTTAAAAAAAATAATTCTTCTATTAATGGATTCTCCAACCTTGCCCCGAAAATATTCTAATTCCTGGAGGGTAAGGCTTCAGCCCAATCCCAGGAACAGCACACACAGAATTCATGCAGTCTTGAGTCTACAACCAAACTGTAACTCAAGTCTAATGAAATCCATATCACCATCTCTGAGTATTATTAGTTAAGGAAAAAAATGTGTTATATTTTATTGAATTAATTTTATTCTCCAGTCTAGAAGCCTGTTTGGATATTGCTTGAAAATATTCTATTGCTTCTCTCCTACTCCTTCTCCTTCAAGAATCTTTTTAGTGCAAAAATCTCTCCACAGCTCAAGAATCTTTCTCAAATCTTTGGCGAAAGACAAAACAGTCTATTCGAGTCCATTGTAGAGTTGGGGAAAGTGAGACACTACCCATATATTATGGCAAAAGTACTTGGATAAAAAGAGACGTCTTCAGAAGGCAGACTAGAAAACTGCTTTTGCCAGTTGGCGATGGGACTGAAACAACTGGGGCCTCGGGAAGCTGGAACAACTGGAGGGAGGCTGCAGTATCTGCGAGGTGCGTCCTATGGACGCAGTCCCGCCCGCGTGGCTGGGGTGGTGGGGCGGGGATGTAGACTGGGCATACTTTGGCTGAGAGAGGAAAAGGGCCTGGCGACCTGCTCAAGTTTTGGATTCTTTTTTGCCTTCTTGCTCAGGGATGCGCGTTTGTGTGTGTGTGTGTGCGTGTGTGTGTGTGCTATTCAATAACTAGGGGATGCGTAGAGAAAGTGTTGCTGTAGCTTGTTTGTGTCTGAAACCTTCGCGATGGTCCGAACCCATATACAAGATATTTCATGCCAAAGGTGATCAATAAACAGGGAGGGTCTCTGACCCCCCGCTGCCTCCGCCCTAGCTCTGCGCTGGATTTTCTGCTCCTTGAAGTCCCGCGCAGGTTCCAGTTGAGTTTCGGTGTTCGCATGTTTTTCCTCAGACCTTTCTCTCCCATTCATTTCACGCTTGGGATCCCCGAGACCTCGAGTTTCTTTCTTTTCTTTCTTTCTTTCTTTCTTTCCTTCCTTCCTTCCTTCCTTCCTTCCTTCCTTCCTTCCTTCCTTCCTTCTTTCCTTTCTTTCTTTCTTTCTTTCTTTCTTTCTTTCTTTCTTTCTTTCTTTCTTTCTTTTTCTTTTCTTTCTTTCTTTTCTTTCTTTCTTTTTTTTTCCTGTCTTATGATTAGGGGAGTGCTCTCCCCGTGCATTTCTGAGCCTCCCCGTTTGGGCTACTCGGAGCTCGATCCCTGCGCCGCGCTCTGGCGACCCGTCTACACAGGGCAGGGCTGGCTGGTTGGCGGCGGGGAAGCTTTCGCACCCCGAGCTTGCGATGCTCCCTAATGGAGCAGTCAGCCTGATGGGCTTCTCGTCCCGGCAATGGTCCCGAGTACTCTTCTGCATGAGCTCTCTTCTCTCTAAGACCTAGAGGGGTCGCTAGTGAGCAGCACACTTGGCACTGCAGTGGCTGTCTGGGGCTTTTCGCAGACTTCCTGCCTCTACTTGCTTAGAGCGTGCACGCCCATAGTGTTAGTGACCAGTCCTTACAGGGAGGATGCTGGGTTCCGGGAAACTATACCTTATAATAACCATTCCTGTACCTTTCTCATAAACATGTCACTTCCATTTCCAAGCCTGCCCTCCTAAATTTAATTACTTCAAATTTTCATTTTCCCTTCGTAGGACCTTAAGGCATTTAACACATTCAGAGAAAGGCACCGTGGCCGGGCGGGAAGAATCCTCAATTCTAGGCTCAGCCGCCTGAGAGCAACAATCCACATAACCCTAACCCCAGTTCCAAGGCTTGTGGAGAGTGGAAGGACCAGGTTATGTTTCTGTGGGTCATGCCACAAATCTGACTGGATGTATAGTTCAGGTATGAGAAGGTGAAGGAATAATTCTTTAGTATGTGAAAAAAACCGGTCAGAGTGAATTGACACATTTGTCTAATATTTGTTTCTGTCGCAAAAACAGTGATGGGGCTTTCAGAGTCAATCCATCCTGCTCCCTTTCTCACACCCCTCCTTTCTTCCACCTCTCCTTTAGTTCTAGAGAGAAACAAGAGAAAGGAAATGTTCTTGGATTGTGTGGATTATCCACTCGTTGATTGTCCACTTTGCCTTCTGATGTAGAGATTTCTGAAGGAATTTTATTTCTCGAATGTGATTGGGTGAGAAGAGAAGGGAAGTATGTGGACAAGTCCAACTCCCCAGGCTTTCTTGCCAGGACAACGTTCGCTTGGGCTTCCCCTTGGCTTCCAGATTCTTCTGCAACCATCAGTTGCAGGAAAGGACTTTTGCATTTACATTGGTTTCCTTTGGTTTTCCCGAGTCAGTCACTCAATCAGAACACGTATTGAGAAACTAGTACTATGTGCATGGACAATACTAGCAAGCTGTGAAGGCAGGTATGGCAAACAGAGTGGTTAGCAGATGGAGCAGGTCAAAGTGTTTCTGAGATAGATGTATTTTTAAATTCAGATGATCCTAAATGTACAAATGTATACGACATCATTTCTTGGAGAAAACTTCTATAAATACTCAACATTGCCTTTACAGTTTTGAAGTTAGCCCTTACCCACATAAAGTAGGTATAAATTTGTGAACTTTTTAATTGAGAATGAAATTGGAAAAGAAGGAAATGCTTTGGCAGTTTGAAAATATTGTTAGCTTGTGGAAATAGATATACTGTACTGTAATTAACAACTTATAAAATCTTAAATCAATATAAATTAATTTAATTATGATTTGTAATTGCATTATGCATGATCAATTTGAAACACTATGTTAAAGATAATTAGAGCTGGGCACCGTCACTCATCACTCCTCCAATAGCTTAATGAAAAGGAATGTCATGTACCACCTTTGGGTTAAACCTGTAAATTAGGATAAATGTTATTTTCCAATAAAAATGTGGTAAAATAATTGTACATTTAATAGACATTTTTATGACTCAATTGTAAATGTGTAATGGATTTTTTTGGAAACTGTATTATTATTATTTTTCATGGACCTAGTTAAGTATTTATTAGGGTTGATTGAGCTGTCAGTGTTTTTTCAGGATCAGGCCTCGAGGATTTGAATGAAGACTAACTTTTATGTAAAAATATCATGCTGTCCTCGAAGCGGGTGCCAAGAGGTCACTGCAGATGGAGGTCCTAACTTAGCATAATGGGTTTAACATTTCCATGACATCATCAGGGAATCTGAAAGGAGTCTAAGGATAATCAGAGTGGTCATTCAGAAGAACAGTAAATATTTTATGAGGATATATAGAAGCAGAAAAGATGGTCAGAAAGGTGATTCTAAGCTCCTTAGAGTTCTGTGAAGGAGGCTTCTCAGTTACTCTCAGAGTTAAAAGAGCCAATGCATGTTCTTATATTAGCAAGACACATTTGAGAGGCTCAGAATAGGACCCAGGTTAGACATTAGTTTGTATAAGATCATTTCTGTTTCCTGAACTCTTCATATTTTGTCAAGGTGTCTGTATTTATCCTTTATATGCTTGCAAACAGGAATATACATTCACTATTCCTAAGACTATTTTAGTTTGTTGATTTCCCAATATTATCTGGTACTGCAAGGTGGGTTCTTTTAAGATGATAATTGAAATTACCATAAGCATATTAGAAGTGTGTATGAATTAGATGAATTCAGTAAGCTCTATTAATTTATATTTTTTATTTTCTACTTTCAACAAATAATATTTGAATTCCTGTATTACTACGGGTCTTTTGATGGGATTCACCTTTACCACCAAACTTCTACTTCTAACCCAAGGCAGATATTGAAGAAAGAATTATATGTATATATATGGAGAAAGAGAGAGAGAGGGAGGGAGGGAGAGAGAAACAATACAAGCTCCACAAAACTTCATGCTTCAGAGTTTTAAACATTTTCTCTAAATTATGATCATTTTTGTTTCCAGCCAGATATACGTAAATAGAAATAAACTTGTTCTGTTATTTGAAAAGGAGACATATCTTTTTTTAGAATATGATTAAGTACACTTGCTCAGGGATTATATGGATTTGATGTTTGGCGTTAACCATTAAAATGGGTATTTTAGACTTTCAAAAATGCCAACTGGAATGAGTACTGAGTCTTCTCGAATTTATTTGTTTATTTTAATAAAAAATTATCTTGACACTTCTGAAAACAAAAGAAATTTTATCATTCGCTGCAGAAGATACAAATGCATAAGTGTTGGGAAAGGTAAATAAAATATTTTAAACTGTAAAATGTAATCTTCTCTCCCCAGTCTTGAGCTTTGAACATAATACCCATTCCTTGAATCTCATATGTCATCATGCCAGGAAACCTTCCATGGTGTTCTGGCTCAGAAGAATCTACTTGTAAACTCTTAGATAAAAACTTAGGATTTTTTAAGACAAAAATCCTCTTTGGTCACTTATCTCACATTTCCTCTTATTGTAATGACATGTGCTCCTATCTTTTCTACCATAGTAAAGGCTTCTCAGGAGAAGATAGTTTATCTTTTCTATCTTTGCATTTCCCAGTGTGTCTAACACAGTATTATGTAAAGTAGATAATAAAACTTTGTGTGTACAAATATTTAAAAACACACTTTTTACCTCTGATTATAATATTGAACACATGTAAATAATGCAGTTTATTGCTCCTCTTTCATATAATTCCATTTTATTCTGGTGACTTTGCATGTAGCTGGACAAATGGCAAACTGATATTTTCAAGCTGGTGTTATTCTCACCTTCATAATTTATCTTAAAATTTGATTGGGTCAATTAGAATTTGGTTTTACAAAAAGCCGTTATAATTTTATTTGAAAACAATTTAAAAGGGGTTAATATTTAAAATATCATAATTGTCTTTATACAGTTTGTGGAAACAAAATTTTTACAATTGCATCATCTCATTGCAATTGGTTATGAACTATTTTTATGATCAAAAGCCCTTATCCCTTGGCCTAAACTGCAAATACACACCATTATTTATGCCATCGTAGGCAGATCTTGCCTTACAGATTTGGCCTTATATGCTCGCCAGATGTTAACTTGAGAATGTCTCTGTATGATTTATCCTTTTTTTCCCCTTTGCACAGTCACTGAATATTGCAATGTAATGATTTCTGCAAGTGGACCAGTCAAAAGTCAAATAAATCATTCCTTTATAAGATGCAAAGTTTAAAGCACCAGTTAGTAAGTTTTGCTTCTTGGTAATGGGGCTCAGCAAATTTTACTTTCTGACACATTTTATAACCCTTCAGAGTAGGTACAGTAATTACAAATGACTATATCACCACACCCTGCTGGTGCCAGGCTCTGCTCTAAGTCTCTCTGAGAATGTTTTTGATTGCAACTGCATAATTTTTAATGATTAAAAGAATGATTTGATCGGTGCATCAACAATACAGTGTTATTTTGTGGGACTCTGATACCTGTTGGTTTCCAATAAGGAAAGGGAATATTAATGCTTTCATCAAAGAAAAGGATGTTAAGAATGGGTCTTATTAGAGAAACATAAGTGAGGCTTCTGTTTTTAAATATAGAATTCATCTTGCATTTTAAAACACCAAAGAAATTTTATTTGCAGTGACTTTTGTAATTCCAGTTTCTGAAGTCAGACACGTCTCTCATGCGCTAAGTTTTTCTTTGTCTACAAGAGACAAGAAAATAGAGCATTTCTACACTAAATTCTTTTCACATTAAAAAAAGAAAAAAGAAAAAATGAACTGGCCATGGGCCTGTACATTAAATTTCATGACTTAAAACCATAGCAATCAAATATTTTATAATTAGAATCATTATTTTCTTCATGTTTTGAGCTGTTTTACAAACAAAGAGAAGGCAAAAACTCCACACTTACACATTCCTACATTAAATGTAGAAACATTACAAAAATTAGATTAGGAAATAGATGAATATAATGACCTTACTCTCAATCATATGCTGCTAGCTAAGTGTTTGAGACTGAAAAATTGCACTAATGAAGCTATTTGAAGGCTTTTGTGGACAACTGCTTCCTCTTTGAAGATTAAATGAATGATGTTGATGTGATTAATCTTAGTACAGGGAGTGATGCAGCAGCTAGAAAATACCTTGGTGATTTTCATAATTAAACTGAATCAACATTTCAAAGAAATGCCAGTGTTATCACTTGTATATTAGAATTACATTCATTAGACAGAAGAAACAAATAATTTGAGCAAACAAGATTTTCCTTTTGGTGTACTGAGACTTCTATCATGTCTCAGAGTATCTTACTATAAATCATCATTACTGTTTAATTTTGTCCTTGCCTTTTTAGCTGTTTTTGTGTCTCTGTGTGCCTGTGGAGTGCTGTTGATCATTCAAAGAATCTTGCTTATCCTTTACTTACTTTCAAACTTTTGAATTTTATCTTCTCTTAACCCCACGTCCAAGGTAGTTGTCTGCCCACTATGATCTTAGATAGGTCATACTTAATAAATTTGAGTTCTAATAAAATAAGACTTCTTGGAATTGCTTTGGTTACCTTGCAGAGAACTGAAGAAATCATATCTGTGGTATGCTCACATATTTTGATAGATTTAAATCTCACAGACCAATGTTATCTTGATCCATTTCTTAGTTGTAAGAAATTTCTATTTTTTTCTTATTTTCTTAGAAGGATAATTCCAGCAGAGTCACTTTTTTTTAGTGCTTTGTAGATAACTTAAATGAGAAAATCATCAGCACTATTTCCAATCAAACTATGGGAAATTGCCTTGGTAGATCAAGTAAAAACAGTTCTTCTGACTTCTTAGTGTAAGTACAAGTTAGGTTCAAGGGTTAAGGATTACTGCATTAATAGAAGTGCAGTGTGTTACTGGTTTTATCACCACTTTAAATTATTTTAAAGGTTTCTGGGTTACTCTTTGTAACCCTGATATTTGCAGTGCTCTTCCAGCTGTTGCACTGTCTTTCCTTTTCTGGTTGTTAATGGAAATAAGAAATGTTTTCCTTAAGGTACTGGATAAAGGACTGGTCTTTCTCTTCAGGGATCCCAATTTGAGTTCAACCTATAATCCTAAGTGAAATGAGTTTAGTGTCTGTCACCAAGTCAGTGGTGATTGAAAATACTCAGCTCCAAACCTGTTTTCCTGTGACTTTGTAAGGCAGAAAATATTGGAATGATCAGGTACCAAGGAACTCAGGAACAAAAAACTTTTAAAATAATGTGCCAGAATTGATCTAAGATGCTGGTACATATTCCGTGCCAGAAAGCCCCAGATAAAACTCAGCTGAATGGTCTGTAATCCATAGGCATTCTTTCTGAAATTGCCTTCATGTGTGCACCTGAGATGCCAGACAGTCACCTTGTACCTGGAAGTTGCCAGTTAACCATGACAGCAGATGAAAAACAAGATAAGTTTACCCCATTTGGGACTGCAGGATGTTCCATTGAAACAAACTTTTTAGCACTTTCTGACTACCCAAATCAAATCTAAGGATTTAGTGAACCAAAAGCACAACTTTCCCTCAGATCCTTCCTCCCATGCTTGTTAGCTGTAACCATAGCTGTCACAAGAAGCAGAAAGAAACAAGAGTCAGAGGAAACTCAGGATGCGGAGGCACAAAGAGACCTACAAGGGAGGAGAGCCTGGGAAAAATCTCTCTTCCACAGGGCATTTGCCAAGAGGCAGATGTGGACATGAAGAGAGTATGGTGGAAGGTGGAGGGAGGGAAGATGAGCAGCACATGCAGGGATCTAATTTACTCAGGGAGCAAACAGGCCAGCGCAGGACCAGTGTGGAGGAGCAATGGGAGAGATGAAAAGGGAGTAGGGAGTTTTTGGGGAGGGGGTTAGCATGATGATTGTATTGTGTGTGACTGTGGGGCAAACAATCCTACATAAGTGGAACATACAAAAGGGCAGAGAAAGATACACATAAGGAGAAGCGGAAATTGCAGAAACTGTGTGTAGAAGATAGGCCTTGTTAAATAAAGAGAGAGCCCCATTTTGCTTGTGATGCTGCCTTGTGACTAACTGGAAAATTGTGCATCCTTGAGAGGAAGTTCTTCTGGAGAACTCCATAATTATAATTCACCAGATCTGTCTGTTGTCCAGTTCCAGAGAGCTGAGGGCGGAAAGAGATAATTGTTCAATAAATCATTCTTATCAAGGACACTTTTTCTTTTCTGGAGCACTGTAAGAAGTTGGAAATGATTGAGAGGTTATAAAATTGCCCCCTGTTCTTCTTCCAATATTCTGTTGATGTTCCTAAGCTAGCCTACTTTGCCCTGTTTCTTAACTTTTCTGATGATACATTTAGACACCCCTTGCCTTCTTCAGCTTCACTATGTTGATGGCCAGTTTATATTTAGTATCACCTTTTCCCCAGAGATGGTTTAGATGTTTTTCCATTTCCCCTCCCCACTTCCTTTTCTGCTTTTTGCCAGTAGGACACAATTTCTTTTCCTTTGAGAAAGACTTTCCATAGAGAATGTGTCATTGAGGAAATTTTTCTCAACCTGCTTTACCTCCAGGCAGGCCTCATGGCTCTAATCACATTTCAGTTTAAATACAAGTTTGATATATCTCTAATGGACAGAGGTCACAAAGACTGAGTACACATTAAAATGGACTGTTGGTGGCCAGTAGTGAAACTCTGGCTCTTTAATTCTCCCATGTTACCTAAAAATCAGCATGCATTAATCTTGACCCTGCAGTCACTATTATTCTCTTTTCAATTTTGCCAAAAGTAAAACAGTCATTTATGGATCTCTGCATGTCATGAGAAGCTTTGTTTCTGTTGTAATGTAACAGATTACATTTTTGAGATAGTGTCTATTAACCCAATTTTAACTTCACCCTCTTAGAAATTCAATTTTCACTATAAATTATCTGGATTTCTACAATCTTTTCCATTCTAATGATCTCATTTAATTTCTCCTTGTTTCCGTCCACTGTAGTGAGATTGGCTTCTTTCCTCTGCTGCGGACACTCCATGCCTATTGTTCTTCTTGCCAGAATTTCTTGCCATTTGTCTGGCCATGGTCTCTTCAGTTGCCAAGTTCCAAGTCCATTTGACTTTCTCCATGGAGCCTATTACACACTCTCTAGCTCTAATTTATCTTTTTTATTTAAATTAATATAACACTCAACTGTTTTGAGCATCAGCATAACATGCTGGGTAAGAGCATAGACTAGGGAATCAGAATGCCTACATTTGAATCCTGGCTCCACATTTATTAGCTTTGTAGCCTTGAGCAAATTATATAAATTCTCCATGCTTCACTCTCTGATATATTCTACGTTGTTGGGTGGTGGGAGAATTTAATGGATTAGTATCAAAACACTTAGTGCAATGCCAAGCTGCAATGCTTGTCTAGAGGAAGCATTATATGTTTGTCATAACTTGTGTTTTTTTGTATTTTAGTTGTCATATGTTAAAAAATGGAAAGCAGAGGCCATGCTTATTCTCTTTAGCCATCCCTGACAGTGCTGAGATAACTAAGTACAAAAAGGCCTTTAACCACTTGCTTATGGATTGATTGTGAGAATTATAGTAAAACATCTCTTCTAATATGCTAAGTGACAAAAGAAATTCACCACGAATGTCAGTTCAAGAGTGAGTTAGACCAAGAGGAGTGTGATACCTCTGTAGGTAGGTCCCAATCTTACAAACATCTCCAAGTCTTAGACAGAAGTCAACAGGAAAATGAGCAGCTGCACAACTCTTTGTCCTGGAGACTTAGATCTTTTGTCCATAGCTCACACTACTGCCACTAGGTGGGCGATGCAGCAGCCAGTTGCCTCTGGTTTTGTCTTTGGGCTTTCTTCTTACTATCAAAGAAAAGAAAGTAATTTGTAAACAAGGTTGACAGAATGTGTAAACTAGGATCACAAAAGGCGATTAAAGTAAAAATGGGGAAAAAAAAACTCAGTTTGGTGTTTGGTAGAAGTCATTTTTTTCTTTTCCTCTCACTTTTCTTTAAAGGTTTGAGGGTTTTGTGGTCCTTAGCTTTATGTCTCAACTGCAAAAATTTCATACTTTAAACATGTTTGGGCCAGGCGTGGCGGCTCATGCCTATAATATCAGCACTGTCGGAGGCCGAGGCGGGTGGATCACGAGGTCAATAGTTCAAGACCAGCATGGCCAACATGGTAAAACCCTGTCTCTACTAAAAATAGAAAAATTAACCGGGTGTGGTGGCATGTGCCTGTAATCCCAGCTACTCAGGAGGCTGAGGCAGGATAATCGCTTGAACCTGGCAGGTGGAGGTTTCAGAGAGCTGAGAGCACACCACTGCACTCTAGCCTGGACAACAGAGCAAGACTCTGTCTCAGAAAACAAAAACAAAAAATGAACAAACAAAAAACCCCAAAAGCTCCCCAAAAACCAGAGACATATTTAATATAATATGATGTATTTTTGGTTGCCACTCTTTTTCAAAAATTTCAAATGAAAACCAAGTTGGTATCCTCATCGTAACAAAGAGGTATATGCAGGCTTTCTTGATGATTATTTTTATACTATTTCTATATTTTAAAGATATAGTATATAATTCCTTGCCATCCTAAATTCTATGGCTCAAAACATGGCAGTAGAAATATAGTTTACATGTGTAAATATATTTTTATTATTCTCTCCTTTTGTAGGAGGCCCAATTTTGTGGAGTTAGTGCCTAACAAACAGCAAACCACTCTTTGCTGGGCCCACCTCTTAAAGGAGGTAGGAATGAGTGCAATTAGGAATTGACCCTCCTTGTCTATTACTAAGGAGTTGCAAGGATCCTTTCCCATGTCAGGACAACTGATGTAATGTTTTCATTCTCTTCATGACAGGGGTGGAGAGAGCTGGGGGTAAGGTAGACTCTAAATATACAATCATCCTGTAGTTCTTGAAGGATTTTTAGAAGCCAAGCATAGCCTAGGGCAGTGATCTAGTCTAGAATAAGTGGTGTGTTTGTGTCTCTATGTGTGTGTGAGGCAGGGGTTAGGAGAGGAAGTGGTGGAAATAAGAGAGTGATAAGTTGGAATGAAGGGAAAGGAGATGAAATTTTGGTAAATTCTCTGTAAGCAGAATTGTTTAAATAAGTCTGCTATCTGAAGACAGCTATACTACAAATGGCTTCCTTCTATATATATAGGACTAGCAAGATTACATCTAGGATATAGGCTGAGTTTACATAGGATTATTCTCTTGTATTTCATACTTTCATTGAAGAATCAAACATAATTTTGAATACATATATGTATCCATATATATGTAAATTCCAATAACTTCAATGTGACTTGTGTTTCTGTTAAATACATCCATTTCTATATCTTTATATGTATGTCAAAAAGAGGAAGACTATGTAAAAGAATTAAAATGGCTTTTCTAAGAAAATTTAATTCAACTGAATGGCTATATGAAACAAGCCTTGTTTAAGAAAGTAACACTGCTTTGAATCTTGTTTTCAAAAACAATCCATTTTCTATGGACTATGTATAGAACCCTCAAATACTACAATATTTCTTATGTAACTCCAATTAGATCCAGATTTCTGATGTCAGTTTAACAGTAGTTCAGAGCTAATTTCATTTTTTTTTTTTTTTTTAGAAAGTATGAGTCAAGACTATTTCCTATTGAAACTGCTTCTAGAGGTCACACAACAAATTCTGTTTCTGCTCTTTCTTTCCTTGTTCAATCTTTTTCCTTGACCTAAATACACTTCTGTTGGACCTTAAGTTTCATAACATCTGTCTACAACCTTTTTCAGAATCCCTCTGGAGGCTCCGTTTTGCTCTTTATTGTATGTTACTAACCGCAGTAGAAGCCATGAACACATTTAATTTCCTTACAGGTCCCAGATTGCCTAATTGTCAGTGACGCAATTTATGTTCCTATGACCATTCACTGTTACATACATTTAGATTTTATGGTATCAACTCATGGATCCAGTGATGTTTATGTAACTCAATTGTGTAAGTCACTATATTTTATGGTCCTTTCTTCAGAAATGCTTTTCTCTAAGTTTTTCGGAGTTACAGATCCCTGACAGTCATATTGCTTATTGTGCCTTCTTATTGATATGAATTAGAGTTGAAGTGTCAAAGGCTTAAGCAGATGAAGTGTCAAAGGCTTAAGCAGGTGTCAAACACCATAAATGCATTCTGTATGGCATCTTATATCACTACAGAAAAGTCAAATCAACAGCAATATGAACAGGTTAGTATTCTTTTTTTTTTTTTTTTTTTTTTTTTGAGACGGAGTCTCGCTCTGTCGCCCAGGCTGGAGTGCAGTGGCGTGATCTCGGCTCACTGCAAGCTCCGCCTCCCGGGTTCACGCCATTCTCCTGCCTCAGCCTCCCAAGTAGCTGGGACTACAGGCGCCCGCCACTACGCCCGGCTAATTTTTTGTATTTTTAGTAGAGACGGGGTTTCACCGTTTTAGCCGGGATGGTCTCGATCTCCTGACCTCGTGATCCGCCCGCCTCGGCCTCCCAAAGTGCTGGGATTACAGGCGTGAGCCACCGCGCCCGGCCAGTATTCTTTACCTATTTGTTATAATCTCCAGCTTGTCCTACTAAACTATGGGAAACATAACTGAATTCACTTTTATGTAAATGGACTACAGAATATCATGTTATTATGAAATAATTCTCCTGAAATTACTTTAGATAAAGAGCCAATTCTAAGTTAGGACTCAGGTATTTTGCCTAGCTGACTATCAGTCATCTGCAGACTATCCCTTTATCTGATTTCAGAAAGGGAAAGAAATTGCAGATACTGGAAATTCCAGTGTGAACTATTGTAATAGGCATGATTTGGTTTGGTGCATGAGATGAAGATCAAAGCCCTTTAGAATGGAAACATGGTCCTTTAGGCTGTTGTCAACTAAGAGAAACTTAAAGCTGAACTGAACTGATTACAAGTCCCTTAAAGAACAAGACTTCCAAAGAGCAAAAATACATCTGATATGGCTTTTTGAAAGTGGTCTCAAAGATTTATGGTGAAACATGATCCTATGGAATGAAAAAGAGGAGGTGTAAAACAATTATGTGGTGTTACAGTTAAATGCTTTAAGGCAACAACAAGGGCAGAGAAAAGCTGAATGAGTTAATGCTAACAGAGTTGCAGAGTGTGAAGACTTTTGCAATTATAGAAAATCAAGGGATAAAGAGGATAAAGAGATAGAATGAACTATATAAGTAGGTTTGTGAAATTGATGATAATTCTATACTGGCTGGCTTGTTGAGCTCAGAGAAATGTGGTAATACCTAGTGATTAGGAAACTGGATAGACACTCAGGTAAAATATATTCCTATATATATATAGTCTTACCTTGTGGTTTAGGACAGGCAGTCTAATTCTTTTACTTATTAGTATAACCAAAATCAGTCTTCGTCTATTTATCTAGGAGGTCTAACGTTTAGTGAAGTATTGATAATTGAGTGTCTTGCAGCTCTTTGTAAAGTCACATGTAAGTCCATATTTATTTAGTGGAGCAATTGTTCCTTGTTTAAACAAAACAAAGCCCAAATAACTACAAAATTTAAAAAGAATTTGCAAAGTTCAAAACTAAAAGCCCCTTGAAGTCAGAGGCTGTTTTTTTTCTTCTGTCAGTGCTGGGCCCAGTGCCTGGCACATCTTAGGTACTCTCTAGTGTTTAGGGGTTTGATGCAAAACAATTTGAAAATGACTAAATTGGGTTATTTTGGAAAAAATAGATTCATCAAAGGCATTTTACGGTAGAGTCAGTTATGCTGATCATATTAATTTTGCTCCATTCCAATCACAAATGTAATAAATATACCTGGCATTGCTTTGCATTTCCTGAGTAATCTAAGTCTGATATGCAAAGCTATTCATGGTAGGCAGGCTCTAAAAGGGTCCCTAATGATTTCTGCCTCCTAGTGTTCATACCCTGTGTAATGTTCTCCCTTTGAGTATGGGCAGGACCTAGTGCCTTGCTTTTATGAGTAGAGTACAGCAAGAGTTATGGCATGTCCTTTCTGAGATTAGAATAAAACACTGTGGCCTCCTTAGTGGTTCTCTCTTGCACACTTTCCTAAAGATAGACGGAGAACAGGGGTGGGGCAAGAAGAGGAGGGAAGGGGTGGGGGGGGGGAGAGAGAGAGAGAGAGAGAGAGAGAAAGAGAGAGAGAGGAATATTGATTCTGTCTTTCCTTTCACTTCATCAATGACTTTTTATCTTCCCTGTCTTCTAAGTTAGCCATCTTGGACGGCTGGTTTGAGTGCATATTTGCTTCCAAACTTGTCTTCAAGTATGTGAAGGCTGGTTATATAGAATTATATAAAAAATTATCCTAAATCTTCTCTGTGCACAGAGCAAAAATTGTTATATTCTAAATAAATAATAAACGGCAGGTGAATATATTCAAAGGTATTTAGAAAAATGTGAAAAAAGTTTTTTACAGAGAAAGTGCAATGTTGACTAAACTTACATTGTTATAAAATGTATCTATAATTCATTTAAATGTTATTTTAGTATTTTTACATTAATTTGTTTATATTAATACTTCCAAAAATATTGTTAACATTTGTACACTTCACGACCCTTTTGGCAATCTACATTGCGTTTCACCTGCTTGTACATCCATTTATTATATTTTGTCATGTATATAATCATAGCAAGTAGCAGTATTCTGTAGGCTTTGGTAATACCAGGGAGTTAAATTATCTTCAAAATAATATTCTATTCATGAGTATATACTGTCCGAGAGAACACTGAATTTTATTAACTATGATTCTGTAACTTCTGAAAATTCTTGGGATGGAGAGAAATGTTTTGTTTTTTTCTTTACTCTTGCCACATATGGTAATTTTCTGAATCCATTATTTTTATAGCATGCCATTTAAATATGAATATTTTAGAAGTTAATTGCAAAGATCATAAATGTGATAGCTGTGAAAAGCATACTAAAGCCAGTTATATCTTTTTAATCAAAAACAGAATCTGAGGAAAACACTTTTTCATATCTTTCTCTTCATGATAATCAATGCATATTTATTACTACCCACAGGCACTATACTAATATCTGTATACCTTTTTTAAAATTCATTCAGTGAGGAGATTCCAAATTCACCTATCCCATGAAGATTTAATAGAAGTAATCCTCACCATTATCTCTTAAACTTGGAGCGTGGTTTATTGTTCACAGAATATTTTCACATACGTCATCCCATTAGTGCCTCACAATGACCCTGGATGTAAGAAGGACACTTATTATTATTCTTACTTTGTAGAGGAAGAAATGCAAGCTGAGAGAATTTAAGTGATCCCCAAAGTCACAGTTAGAAAGTGTCTGCTTGGGTCCTGAATCTATCTAATTCCTAGCCCAGTGCCTATTCTACACATTGACTTTATTTTGCAAGTTCCTGACAGGTGCAATCATACCAAATTTATGACTAATAGGTGTTGAAATGTCTAACGACTAAGATAGGTGTATTAGCTCTTAAATGGCTCACATTAAATGTGAAAGAAAATACAACCACTTTAAGAGTCCATGTTTTACTCTGTCTAAAACAATTAATTTTAGTGATATTTTCTTTGCACTTATTTGAACTTAGGTTTACGACCCAACTTACTCAACAAGTGATAAAGGAAGCATCTCTGGTTTCAGTTCAAAGTGTATTTATTATTAAAGGAATTGGCACGCTTATTATTCTGAATCAAGGAGGGTCCAGTTAAAATCGAATCCAGGGCTTGATTGACTGCTTTATCTGTTTTAAAGTCATGTTTACAAAGATAATGTTTGACACTAACTTCTTTGAGAGATCTGAAGGCCAAGCAAAGCTAGACACCCACCGAGGACTTATGTGCTTGTGTGTTTGCGCAGCCCCTCCTCCCTACCACTTGGTCTTTGTTAGGCATTGGATGGCCTGTAACATGACTGCCTAGCTTTAGACTGTGGTTTAATCTTCTAGCAGGGATCACTGGGCCATAGAACATTGGTCTCACTGCTGTAGGATTCCTACTGGCTGAGCTGTAAAGTTTTATTCCAGTGTGTACTTTTTAGGTGTTCAGCAAATATTTGCTAGAAAATTAATTAATATACACATAATTTTCCAACTGAGAAACTTTCACAAATCCAGAGGAAATGTGGTTCCCAGATCACTGGGCATGGGCCTGTTATTTTCTTCATCAGAATTTCCTTGGGTTGGTTGAGATATCTTAAGCATGAACTTGAATACTCTTCACATTTGGGGTTCCAGTTTCCTGATCAGTGGTTGAAAGACAGTTGCTGCGTGCTGACAAGGGAAGGGAAGGGCTCCCAGTGGGTCTCTAGAGAAGCCATGTTTTGTGCAAGGGGTGAATGCTGGGCTCAGAGTGCCTGGGTCAGCCAGTGGTTTTGGTTGTTTGCCCAAGAGGGAGTGATTGAGTGGAAAGCACCAAGGTTGACTTGTTGATTAAAATTATAATTCAGCATTTACATTTTCAAAGTACTTTATAATTGCTAATGATCTGTTTCTCAAAGTGGGCCCGGGAGGAAGGTCAGCAGCCTGGTCCCCATTGTACAAATGAGGAAACTGAGACACGGGGATGTTAAATGACTTGCTCAAGGTCACGCAGCAAGTTCACTCAGGAGGCAGCTTCAGTTGAACTTTAGAACATGGCTTTCTACAGCTGGGCTTAGGGTCTTGGGGGATCTTTCCTAGGGGGAGTTCTCTCATCCTGGGGCTCTGTTGTTTAATTATGGCTTGATATGGATCTGAGATCATCTAATAAAATGAGCTGAAACAGCCCTGCTCCTGAAGGATGGGAGGTAAATGTGGTGCTGACGGCTGAAAGAATAATTCTG
Organism: Homo sapiens; assembly: GCF_000001405.40. NCBI lineage: Eukaryota > Metazoa > Chordata > Mammalia > Primates > Hominidae > Homo > Homo sapiens. Next base: position 78,571,508 of record NC_000013.11, on the reverse strand, counting down.
GGAATGCGCTACTGTGGGCTGTGCTGGGCTGTGATTTTGCAAATTCTGCTCAGGAATATTATTTTCAGGGTCCCAGGGTTTTTGCTCTCATTTTCTAACAAATCACCCAGGCAACGTTTTTTCCTACAGGCTCACTCTTTGAGATTAGCTCATGTTCAAAATAATCTCCCCTTTAGATTCTTATTTAATTAAAATAAACAGACAGCCATAATTTTTTCCCCTGTTACACTGAAATGAAGCAACTGCTCATCCCTTATCAGTGCTTATGGGAGGCAGAGACCTTCGAAAGCCCTTTGAGTCATGTTGCTGAGGATAGTTCTTCCTCTGAGCTCCCCAAGTCACTGTGCACATACCATTATTTTTGTATTCATGACATGACATTATAACAGATACTTTCTCTGCCACTTTCTAGAAAAATTTTTACTACTCTTTGTGTCCCTAAGATTTTTTACTGTATCTGTCTAATCACAGGCACTTGGTATTAAATGCTTGTTAATAAAAAATAAGTTTTTTTTTAATAAGTGGCCAAACATTTTTTCTTCTTTTCAGGAAGGAATATCAAAGTAGAGTGAGAAAGAGGAAAAGAGAAAAAAGAAAAGGAATTGAAGTAAAGAGGAGTAGAAAAAGCCTGCTATTTGGAAACTTTGATTACTATTTATCTTACATAACCTCATATGCTCTTATTAGTAAATCTTTTGCAGATAAAGAAATAAGAAAAGGCAAAAAAAGAAAAAAGGAGCAAAAGAAAATGCATAGATGGAGACTGTACTGGTTGTCCAGGTGGAAATATGTCCAACATTTGTAGATTTCATTATAATAGAACAAAATTAGCTTCATGCTGAAAAAAGCCACCTCTCCCCTGTCAAAAAATGAGAAGGCCAGTAAGGGAATTACCTGGAAATTGTATAACTGCTGCTTTCAAGGGTTTGGTCCAAAAACTGGATGAGTTTGTATTTCATTTTTCCCTCCTCTAAAAGTTTCCAAGATTTTCAGTGTGACTTTTAATTACAGGAGTGTGGGGTGAGGAATATCATCCCAATTCTTGTCTGCTATTGCTTCCATTTTCCATTTATAATAATCCGAACCCTACAGCCTGTACTGGGGATATTTACATGTCTGTTCTTGGAATTTTCTAAGGAAAGGCTTATTCACAGTTCCACAGCTGAAGTACTTCAGGAAAAAATCTTTGGTTATTGAGGGGGTTGAACAGATGCATCGTATCAATGGAGGTAACTGTGATATATTTGCCACTGTATAGGAATAAGAGTCAGAGATCTAAGTTCCATGTTCATATCTGTCACTTACTAGTTATGCTGAGTAAGTTGCTGAACTTCTTTGTGGCTCAGTTTCTTCATTTATAAAATAGGAATAATATTTACATTAGACAAATTATCAAAACTAAAAAAATATAAAAAGAAAGAATATTGAATTATGGGAAAGGGAAAAAAGCTAAGAAAAATTCTTTTTTTTTTTTTTTTTTTTTGAGACAGAATCTTGCTCTGTCACCCAGACTGGAGTGCAGTGGCATGATCTTGGCTCACTGAAAGCTCCACCTCCCGGGTTAATGCCATTCTCCTGCCTAAGCTTCCTGAGTAGCTGGGACTACAGGCGCCTGCCACCATGCCCAGCTAATTTTTTTTTTTTTTTTTTTTTGTATTTTTAGGAGAGACAGGGTTTCACTGTGTTAGCCAGGATGGTCTCGATCTCCTGACCTCATGATCCACCTGCCTTGGCCTTCTAAAGTGCTGGGTAAATTACAGGCATGAGCTACTGCGCTCGGCCAAAAAATTCTTCTTGAGAGAAAAATGCTAACTTATAAATGTAGGAAGAATGATAATGTCAGAAAATTCTCACTTTATAGTCCCTAATGTAATAATTGATTCAGGTGTATGTGATCAGTGGATGCTAAGCCATTGGGTGAAAGGTTGTTGAGGGGTAGGATATTCATGGCCTAATAGAAATGGGAAAATTTTATGTTTACAAAGGAGGGGCCAGGTGGTCATCACCTTAACTACATGGTCAATCATAGCATAACACCTAGAATAACAGCCTGACATTAGTTGCTACTATATAATAAGATTTGAAGTATCTAGTATCACTTTTATGAACTATTCTGGCCAGAAATTTAATCTATATCTAATCAAACCTCTAACCTAAATTCCAGTTTAGAAAATACAAGAGACTTATACCTCTGTATAAGTTAAAGTTAGAAAACAACTACTTAGATCTAGAATGTGGGATATTCTATATTTATGGAATAATTTTTTTCATAAAAATTGCGTAATACTTTTTCAATTTTATTAGGTATAATAATATTGTGGCATATTTAAGAATGTATTTATGCATATATCCACACAAAGAAAATATGAAAAAATATTAACAATTATTTAATCTAAATGGAAGGTATATGTGTGTTCATTGTATTATCTTTTTCAAGTTATTGTGTTTGGATGTTTTTATGAGTTAGAAAAAATTTAAACAGGAAATAAGGTAAGATACTCAAATAACACACTTATGATAAAATAAGCTATTGTTAATGTAGCAATAGTATTTATAATGTATCTATAATGGCATAGGAAATTGTTGACTAATATGTTGATGTTGAGAAGGACAGGAACAAAGCTTATCCCAAAAGGAAATAAAATTCTCATAGAATAAAACAGTCTGAAGACTGTTGACACCTAGAAAATACATAAGATTTTTTTTTTTTTCCTTGTTGGGCGCAAGTTTTATTAGACTTACAAAATGGTATGTCATCCTCCTGGTCTGAAGACAGGTCTATGTAGTGATGCTTTGGGGCCAACTCAGGAACATTATATTAGTGGTACGTTGCATTTATAATGCATTTTTTTATTTTCTTAATCTGAATGCACCTACTGTTATGTAGGTATCTCCACCAATTATATCCAATCATCTGACTGTATTCACACATTAATTTTAGAAGTCAAGGATTTATGCATCCCTTTATTAATGAAGAAGCTTAGTCTATGATGACACATGGGTTACAAGTATAGAACCAAAACCAATTATTATTCCCAGCTCAATTAGAGTGAATGGGTTACAATTTTGTTTCAGGTTTACTTCACAAAAATACCCTGGAAAAAGTAATCCAATTATCCATATTATTACTAAGATATTTAAAAACTGCTTATGCCCTCAATTGTGAAAAGGCAGCTTAGATTTTAAAGTTATTTGTTATGGTTTCATAATAGACCATGTGATTATGCTGTCAGTGCATTAGCATTAAGGTATTGTTTCTATAAAAACAATGCAATAGAACTTTACATACATTTACAACATGAAACTAGGTATTCTCTCCACTGAAAACAAAGAAAAGGAGATATTGAGAAGATTTGTGTTGTAAACATTTAATTAGAAATCTAAACATTCATTAAAGTTTTTGTTACCATTTATTACAAAGTTAAAGGTTGCCAATATTTTAAAAAATTGAATTCTACTGTTACACCTCAGGGTTTTGCTACATATTGAGTTTATTTCTCTATATTTTGCTCTTTCTTCCCCCCCACCCCTTCTTGATTCTTGTTTTTCTTTCTATTGGTTGTGTGTAATTCAGGACTAAATGTGTTGTGGGTATGTCTATGGAATAAAGTTTTATGTTTTTCGTTTTCAGCTTTTAGAATTGATAAGTGAAATATAAACATATTAAAAATAAACCGCTAAGACAACTTAAAATACATTGCTGTTTGCACAGATGTCTTTTTTCCTGCATCACTATCATCCAATAAAATAAATTTTATTTTTCACTGGAACATGTTCATTGATACTACTACAATACTTATAAAGATCATGAATCTAAGGGTCAAACCTGCCCAAAGCAAAAAGCTTTCAAATAATTATCATCAGAAATACCATCTTAAAAAAAAGGAAGAGTGACTACATTTATCCAGAATCATCCAGAATGAGTCCTTCCACATAAGTGAACTTTCCAGAAAAACTTTTAAGTGGCCCGAAGTTTTTAAGCAGATCACCTATTTAGATAGAATGCTTTAAAAATCTTTTATGTGCCTACTTTCATATTAAAACATAATGTGCAGAATATAAACTAGTATTTACTTAATGATTCAAGGCTACCATTAGGAACTGGTTGCCTTTAATTCACATAACAGTCTATAGATCATTTTCACACACATACCTTCTGGTTTATCTTCACCACGGCTTTATGCCAGAGGTGAGATAGGCATCAATACTCCTGTTTTTTACAAAACGGGAAACTGAGGCTAGCATGTCTAAATGTCCTCTGTTATGTGGGAGAACAAGAAAGCAGGCAAGTGTTCTGGCTTTAAGCCTAGTGCTCCTTCTCATACACACCACTGCCTCTCTAGACCAGTGATTACACAGCATGTTTGCAAAGATAATGACGGGGTCACATGGACCATTTTTCCTTATTCAAAATACCTTCAAATTCCTAAGGAGTTATATTTTTGCATTAGGTTTTTACAGTGTTTACTGCATGGTGCCTGGCATATAATAAGCACTTAGGCATTGTTCTGTGAATTTGTCTGTGGTAGCATACCTGGCACTAGAGCCTCTAATTAACATTCATTCATTCATTCATTCATGTATTCACTCATTAATATGTTCAACAAATACTTAATGAGAGTGTACTATGTGCCAGGCCCGCTGTACTAGATGTGGGTATAAATGCCAAATGCATAAAAAACCTTAAAGTCTAGGAATTTGCATCAATCAAAGTGTCACTCAAATGTTAGACGTCCTTCTCTCACACAACGCTACTTTGAAGAAGGTGGCAATCGCTATACGTGTTAGTTTGCCAGGGTTGCCATAACAAAACACCATTAGTCTGGGTGGTGTAAACAACAGAAATTTATTTTCTCACAGCTCTGGAGGCTGGAAGTCCAAGATCGAGGTGTCAAAGATTTGGTTTCTATTGAAGCCTCTCTCCTTGGTTTGCAGATAGTTTCCCTCTTGCTGCTTCTTTTCTGGGTGGTCTCTCTGTGTATATGTGTCCCTGTGGTGTCTATTCGTGTGTCTGAATTTCCTCTTTTTTTTTTTTTTTTTTTTTTTTTTTTGAGACGGAGTTTTGCTCTTGTTGCCCAGGCTGGAGTGCACTGGCGCGATCTTGGCTCACTGCAACCTCCGCTTCCCGGGTTCAAGCAATTATCCTGTCTCAGCCTCCCGAATAGCCGGGATTACAGGCGCCTGCCACCACGCCCAGCTAATTTCTGTATTTTTTAGTAGAGATGGGGTTTCATCATATTGGTCAGGCTGGTCTTGAACTCCTGACCTCAGGTCATCCACCTGCCTCAGCCTCCCAAAGTGCTGGGATTACAGGCTTGAGCCACCGCGCCCGGCCTGAATCACCGCACCCAGCCTGAATTTCCTCTTCTTATAATGGCACGAGTCATACTTAATTAGATCCCACCCATATAACCTATAATACCTTAATTACCTTTTTAAAGGCCCAGTGTCCAAATACAGTTACATTCTCAGGTACTGGAGATTAGGGCTTCAACATAGGAATTTTGGGGAAACACAATTTAGCCCATAACGCTATGCTAATTACTTTCCGTGGAGAGCCTATTATGTGTCAGCACTTTGAAGGCACTTCTATTAACACTAATTCTGACAGCAGCCCTGTAAATTAGGGTACAGTTGAAAATATACTCAAGGTAGTGAAGTGACTTATGTGAAATAAACCTCCAATGTGGTGCCTGAATATGAGCCCAGGTCAGCCTAACTTGATGAAACTTTGATGTTTATTTGATGGTGCAGAGGTCTTTCCTAGTCCTGTCTTTCCGGATAGTTGGGCTTGCAGGATACATGACCTCTGAGCAAGTGCTATGCTGCAGGAAATTAGTACACACTTATTTAAATTGTCAATCTCACTTTTTAAAAAAAATTTAGGCCGAACGTTTTTCTTGTTTCTTTTACATAACACTGGACCTCAACTTAGTTATTAGATTCCATGCAATCAAACTATCGTTCACAAATTTATCTCAATTTGATATTACTATCAGACATGCTCCCATTTAAACATTATTTTGGCCTCTGACTATGAATAAATGCAGTATTTAATGCACGTAAATATTTTATGATTAACTTTGGTTACTTGTATCATCTCAGTTCACTCTATAAATTCAGTCAGAGAAGAAATATTTTAGGCAAAATACTCAGCCTGAGATGTGAACAGAAATAACTTAAAATGGTTCTTTTGTACTATATAATGCAAATGTAACCTAGTTAAGATTTAAGAAATCAATAAACATCTTGAATTCAGGCAGAGTGTTAATACATCATGTTATGTTGTGGGATAATATTAGGTCTAATATACTTTGCCATTTCCAGTAATTCCTCCCTGGACTCCTCAGAAGGAGCTCCGTTATTCTAGTCTGATGGGTGGACCCTTTTGGGAAGCAGTATTGTAGTTGGCTAGTAGCCAGTTGTATTTCCTCAAACATCTTCCAACCCTCAAAAGCATTTTTCAAATTAGCTACGAAGTAAATAAAACCTGGTTGTCCGTCATTCTATGAGAAGCTGTCTTTTCAAGGAACACTTTGGGCCTTCCTTTCTTTTTTCAATCTTGATATTGATTTGCGTATTATTGAATTCTAATAATGATAGGCTTAGAGGTAGTTGAGCTTCCCTGGTAACTAGCTGGACATTTCCTTAGTTGTTATTAGCAAATGATATAAGTACACAAAAAACACTACAGTAAAACCTCAAAAAGCTGTAATGTTAAGAGAGTGGTTAATTGATTTAACCTGTGAGAAAAGCAGAACTCCTCCTCTCCTCAAAATGTATTTCTGGCTGTTTACCATTGTGTTTAAAATATTTTGTATAAATTTCCCATTTATAATAAATGTACAATAGGCATATACAGTACATATATTGCATATAATATAACAGATATAACAGACATAATAAGCTTGCCTATTCAGATCTTTGTTCAGCCTAAACATAAATTTGTAATAAATTTCTGTGGAACAATTGACTGACTGAATAAATGGGAAATAGAGGTAATAATACAGCTGACTTTGTACTGCTCTGAGAGCAGTGTGGACGTGTTTTAATTTGTTTTAAAGTTAGATCTCTGTTATCTTATTGTTTGCTTTTATCTTTCCAATATAAATGGAGATCAGGAAAAAATAAGGTTGATTGACTTGTTAGTTATTTGGGTTTATATATTAGTAACCAAGATTAGAGATTGGAATCATAATGGTCTGGGTTTGGATTACAGCTTTGCCACCTACTGTATAAGCTTGAATAAGTTGCTTAACCTTTCGGAGCTTTCTTTTTTTTAAAATTTATTTTTTATTTTATATTCTTGAGAATGAAAGAAAAAAGATGAGGCTCAACATGATTGAGACTTCTTTTACTATTGTTAAGATGGAGATAAAAAATAGTACCTACCAATAATTATTCTTGTAACGACTAAATGAGGCAATGGAATTAGAGGTCTTAGCCGGGTTCTGTCTATAACAAGACATCCATTATTGTCATTCTGCTCAATAGAATTCAGTGGGCTTTGTTTCCCTGTTCTATTTCCTTCTTTTTTGAACATTGGCTCTGATCCTGCTAAAGTCTGCCAGCTAGCTAGTGTTCCTCTTCTCTGTGTCAGATCCAGGTGAACTTCTGAGCTCCTTCCACTATATCCCACACTTCCTTTAGAAAAAATATTGATTGGAGAGACCAGCTTGATTTAAATCATTCTAGTAACTCGGGAACTTGGCACAAAAGTAGTTTTCCAGGTGGCAAAGGGGTACAGGTATGGAATTACATGCATTCCTCCCACTATAGTTTACTTTTACACTCTGATTCTGACAGAAAAATGGAGAAAAAATTTGATGATATCTTTCTTACAATTAATTCTACAGAATCAATGTGCCATTGTTTGCATTTTCAGTTTTTTTCTCCAGATTAAGTTATCCAATTTCTCAGGAATTCTATTTCTAATTCCCCATCAGCCCTTCCCTCCCACAGGTTTCCTCTCCAGCTAAAGATACTAGAGTTCTACATATCTGAGTAACTTCTATGGTAAGGGAGGATTGTGTGCTGTCCACAAACACAGTGATTTAAATGAGGTTAAGTCTATTACAGACTTCATCATGAGCAAGGAAAACAAACCAAAGATGTTAAACATATGATCCACAACACAGGTACCATATTTCTTTAATCTGTTCTTAGTTACACCACATACATCAAAGCTAGGACACAGGAGGACTGGCCAAGATGCTCAGCTCTTTCTATTGCTGGGAGTTCTGCATGGCTCCTTGGTGATCAGAGAGGTAAACCATTTCCTTACCTTCTATCTTCACAACTTATAATACTACTAGGATCATAGCCTGTTCCATTAGGGTTTACGTACTCCAGTTTCCTGAGGTGATATCCTGACGTGTATGAGAAATGGCAGTACAGTAAGCATCACATTCACAAAAAAATGGATTTTGAAGTAAAAATACTGGGTATGCATATTAACTCATACATATTAGTTTCCACTGCCTCATCTTTTTTTCTCTTATCCTTTGCCTCATGTGCATGATGGCTTGAAGGGAGGGAGGAAATGTGGCTACAATAGCACTTGCCTTATAGGATTGTGAGAATTAAATAAAACAATGCTTAGGTACATTGAGTTCATCCACCCATCTATGCATTTATCCACCCATCCATCCATCCTCTATTTATTCAGTCAATATTTCTGTGAACCCACCATGTGCCAGGCACTGTGTATAGTGCCCTAAGGTAGAGAATGACAGGTAGGCAGCACAGTTTCCTTTCCCCTGGCCTTGTATTATGGTAATTAAACTCCAAAGGTATAGCCAGAGAAATGAAGCTTTGATCCAGGAATAAGGTACAAAGTTCAAACCAGAATCTCGCTTGTCTGCCCTGCCCCATGGCTCTGACAGCCCTGAGCAGAGTTGACAAGCCTTCCCCGTTTTATTCACAGGAATTGAAAGTTTCATGTGTTATTAAAATTCCTCCCTCCCTGCAAACCATCATCCACAGGAGGCAAAGGAAGGAAGTGAAATTGAAAGGTCCATCAGCAGATCTTCTGACGTTTACCCAGGGGGTGAGACTGGGGAAATAAGCATGTGACCCCTCCGTCAGTTGCTACTCCTGGGGGAGGAGCTGTGCAAAAGCGTGAAGCTTTTAGACACATCTGGCCCAGGGCAAAAATATGAATTTGACTGAGATTGTCTTCTACCTGCTGGCCTCTGAGCCTGGGATCTTTCCTCCTACAGCAGTGTCCACTCTCCCCCTGAGCTCTCACAAAGTGCTGCTTGCCATCCTGTGTTGCCCAGAAGAAACTAAACATGCTTTCCCTCTTAGGCACTGTGCAGTTCTTGAAATAGACTTTATTATTTATTTATTTATATTTATGGGGTACCGGTGATTTTTTGACATAAGCCTACAATGTATAATGGTTAATCTAGGTTATTGACATATCCATCGCCTCACATTTTTATCATTTCATTGTGTAAGGAACATTCAAAATCTTCTCTTCTAGCTGTTTTAGACTTTATTTATTTAAGAGCAATTTTAGGTGCACAGCAAAATTGAGAGGAAGGTATAGAGATTTTTAATATACTCCTCCCCCGATATGCACAGATTGTCCCATTATTAACATCCTTCACCAGAGCGGTCCAGTTGTTACAAGTGATGAACCTGCATTGACATCATCATCACCCAGAATGCGTAGTTTCCATTAGGGTTCTCTCTTGGTGTTGTACATTCTATGAGTTTGGACAAATATATAATGACATGCACCTATCATTACGGTATCATACAAGAAAGTTTTGCTGCTCTGAAAATCCTCTGGGCTCAACCTATTTATGCCTTTCTCCCTCCTAACCCTTGGCAATAACTATCTTCTTACTATCTCTACAGTTTTACCTTTTCCACAATGTGATGTAGTTGGAATCGCACAGTGTGTAGCCTTTTCAGATTGGCTTCTTTCACTTGGCAATATGCATTTAAAGTTCCTCTATGTCTTCATAGTTTGATAGCTCATTTGTTTTTATTGCTGAATAATATTCCATTGTCTGGATGTATTTATTCATTCAGCTACTGAAGTTTGGTTGCATACATGTTTTGGCGATTATGAATAAAGCTGCTATAAACATCTGTGTCTGTTTTTTGTAGCACTGTGCATTTAAAAGTAGACATCAAAGGCTTAAGTTAAAGGAAATTTCAGCTTGGCGATGATCTGCAGGGCAGGGAAGCCTCTTCTCTGGACCCACCTGAAGTCCAGCCTTTTGAACAGAGGGACAGAATAAATTGTCAAAGAAGCTAGGACAAGTAGAAAAAGGAGGAAGTCATGCTCTTTCTCCTTTCCTGTCTCTCTACTCTCCCACCTCGTGTGGCATGGTACAGTTTAATCCTGAGCTAGGATTTAGGTGGTTCTTCCCTCCCTTTGAGACTCATCTGCCAATTTCCAAAGACTGGCTGTAGCCCCTGACCCTCCCAAGCCTGCACTTCCACATTTGTTGGGTGCACTAAATTAGAAAAGTAGAATGAATGCTGCTAATGCTACCTGTGAATGACTCTGTGCAAAATGCTGACTGAACCATGTTTAGATAAAT